>NC_000020.11:3551183-3702698 GCF_000001405.40 Homo sapiens
TATCCCCAGGATGTCCCCTAGTGTAGTGACCAACCAGTTTGCCTGGAACTCTCCCAGTTTTAGCACTGAGTCTTGTATCCCAAGAAACCCCTCAGTACTGGACGAAATGGGATGGTCACCCTGGCCCCCAGCTGCTGACTGGCTGGATGGAGGTACATGAGTCTGACCCTGCTTCTACATGGGAAAATTCATGTTCCAGGGCTCCCCTTGGGATCAGGCCAAAGCTATACTTCAACTGAGACCACCTTTTTACTTATCCTCTCCTTCCTACTACCTTGCTTGTCTCACTTCCTGATGTTTGTCAAAAGAGTATTCCCTCAGTAAATCACTTGTACAGGAATCTCTATCTCCAGCTCTGCTTGCAGGGAATCTTACCTGAGACACTTTTCAATCTTTTCAGATATTTCTCTCTAATACCCTAACAGTGTTTGATCTCCACATGGGTCCATAATTCATTGATTCTTTCTCTCTCCCTCTCCTGTTCTCCTTCTTAACTCTAATATCTTCTTTTCATTTTTCAGATTCCTACCACCTTTCCTTCTGTTTTCATTCTCAGTTAATGGCCTTGCTTCCTGCTTCTCTTTTGAAAGATAAAGGTCAGAAAATGATTTCCACAAACTCCTACCACCACATTTCCCCTTCACCTATATCTGTGCCCCTTTATGGTCATCTTTTCTGTAGATCAGTGCTGTCTCATAGAAGTTTCAGGCATCATTCAAATGTTCTGTATTTACCCTGTTGTATCACTGGCCACATGTGGTTATTTCATACCTGAAATATGGCTAGTGTGACTTAGGAGCTGAATTTTTTATTTTCCATTCTTAGTTCTTATCTTACTTGATCTGGCACCAACATTTGATACAGTTATCCTTCCCTCCTCTTTTAAACACTTTCTTTAGTTGGCTTCTAGGACACCACATCCCCTTGATATTTTTTTTAATTCCATATTCCTTCTCAGCCTCTTTAGCTGGTTTCTCTTCAGCTGACTGACTTCTGAATGATGTCAGACCAGGGCTTAACCCTTGGTCCATTGCTGCCTGTTTATTCACTCTTTTGGTGACCTCATATAGTATCTTGGCCTTTATACTTGGTGACTCTCAAATTTGTATTTGCAGCCTAGACTTTTTACCTGATCCCCTATCTCCAGCTCTTTAATTGACATCTCAACCTTCTGGCTGTGTACTAGGCATCTTATGCTCAGCATGTCCCACACTCATCTTTTTCTCAAGGCTGCTCTTCCCCCAGATGTCCCCCCCAGTTAATGGCCACTCCATCCTTCTATTTACTTAAGGCAGAAATCTTGGGTCATCTGTGACTTCTTGTTTCTTCACACCCCGTATTGGTATATTTATGAGTTATCTCATGCTACATAACAAATTACCACAAACTTAGCACCTTAAAACAGTTTGCATTTATTATCACCATTTCAGTTGGTCAGGAGTCCTCTGTAATCAAGGTGTCAGCTGGCCTGCATTCTCATCTAGAGGCCTGAGTGAGGAAGAATTCATTTCCAAGCTCACTTAGGTTGCTGGCAGAATCAATTTCCTTGTAGTTATAGAACCGAGGGTCCCAGCTTTCTGCTGGCTATTGACTTGAGGCTGTCCTTAATTTACGGAGGCTGCCTTCAGCTCCTAGAGCTTACCTCAGTTCCTAGAGGCCACCCAGTTTCTTGTCAGCTGAGCTTCACCAGTATAGCTGCTTACTTCATCAGGCCACAAGAAGAGTCTCTAGACTGAGTCTGCTAGCAGGATGGATGTCACAGAAATGATATCCTATCATCTTCGCCATATTCTGTTTGTTAAAAGCAAGTCATAGATCCTGCTTACCTCCTAGGGGAGGGGATTGTACATGGTTATGAATACCAGGAGGTGGACATCATGAGGACTACCCCAGTGTCTGTCTGACACGATAGGTCATATCTTGTTAGCTCTACCTTTAGAATCTGTCCCAAATCTGATCACCTCTAGTGCTGCCACCATGAGAAGAGAAGGTAAAATTAAAGGCATGAAAGTGATTGTGCCTTCTGCTGTTATACTAGATGTTATGAAAGACACATATTTACCATTATGTGATTTTACCCTAACATCCTCCCTGTCTCTTGAAGCAAGAAATCTGGGAATCTTTAGATATTTCCATATGTTCTTCTCTTCGTACCATAATTTCATATTAAGCCCTCTCAACTCTGTCACCAAATACATGTCATATTTATTCTTTTTATGTACAGCCTGCTGTTATCTCTTACTTAGTCTTCAGCAGTAGGTTTCTATCAAATCTGTTCATTTCCATTTATTCCTATTAATCAAATTGCTAAACATGAACTGGGGTGCCATTGAACAATATAAATAATATCATTTACTACCTTCTTAAAACCCATCAGTGTCTTGCCTTTGGACTTAATGGCCCTGCATGATGTGACCACTGTTTACCTTCCCAGACTCAGTCTTTTCCTCTCCTGCCATCATTCACAGCACTCCTGCCCCACCAACCTGCTTTCTTACTCAAAACGTACGGTGTACATCATTACCTTTAGAGCCTGTGTGTTTGCCCTTCCCTTGGTCTAGACTGTTCCTGCTATTGTGCCTCAGGGCTGGTGTCTTCTCACCCTTTAGATCTCAGTGTGGTTTTCCCAGAGAGATCTTCTCTGACCATCCAGTTCAGACATTTCTCCCTGTTCTTTTTTATAGTCCTCATTTTCTTTATGGCAGTGTTAGTGATTTTTTGTTATGTCAGTGCACACTGTTGTACTTGCTCTTTGTCTGCCTTTGCCAAGTTCTTCAAGGTTAGGGACCTTGTTTACTCACTGCACTCAGAGCTTAGCTCATAGAAGGTACTCAGATAGGTATTTATCAGATAAACGGGGGAGTAAATGATTTATTTCCTTCACAAACATCTGTTCCTGGAAATATTAATATCACCTATTACTTTTTTTTGACTGACATACTTCATGAGCCACATTGTTTTTTAGATCATAACTTTTTTTTTCTACTGATCAAAACATGATTTTCTACAGCTTTATTTGTTTCACGTAAATATTAGCATAGTTCCAAATAATGAACTTTCATGAAAAGTTAATTTAGTGATTCATTTTAGAAGTAGTGTTTCTGGAACTTAGATTACAGATTTTTATTTATTTATTTATTTATTTATTTATTTATTTATTTATTTATTTTGAAATGGAGTCTCGCTCTGTCGCCCAGGCTGGAGTGCAGTGGCACAGTCTCGGCTCACTGCAGGCTCCGCCTCCCAGGTTCACACCATTCTCCTGCCTCAGCCTCCCGAGTAGCTGGGACTACAGGGGCCTGCCACCACGCCCAGTTAATTTTTTGTATTTTTAGTAGAGATGGGTTTCACCATGTTAGCCAGGATGGTCTCGATCTCCTGACCTCGTGATCTGCCCGCCTCGGCCTCCCAAAGTGCTGGGATTACAGTCGTGAGCCACTATGCCCAGCCAGATTACAGATTTTATAGTCATTTATACTCTTACATGAAAGTATTTTAGGAATTGCTCTTCCTGTCATTTTCCTCACAGTCCTGTTAACGCAAAACTTTTTAGTTGCATTAAAAAGCAATTCCCATTTTGTTACCCAATGGTCCTCTTGTGAAATAAGTGGTCTTGGTCCCCTGGATTAAGATTGCCAGTTGAAACTTCATTACCAAATTTCCTTCTCTTGAGCAGAAAAGCTTTTTTTAAGTTTAAAAAAAAATAGTAAGAAATCAGTCAGCAGTCAACCAAATAAGCAAAGTAGCATCACCGAATCCAATAAATGTTAAAGCAGGCTCATGGAACACCAAGTGTGACCTGACCTCTTTTTTTTTTTTTTTTTTTTTTTTTTTTTTGAGACGGAGTCTCGCTGTCGCCCAGGCTGGAGTGCAGTGGCGTGATCTCGGCTCACTGCAGGCTCCGCCCCCTGGGGTTCACGCCATTCTCCTGCCTCAGCCTCCCGAGTAGCTGGGACTACAGGCGCCCGCCACCTCGCCCGGCTAATTTTTTGTATTTTTTTAGTAGAGACGGGGTTTCACCGTGTTAGCCAGGATGGTCTCGATCTCCTGACCTCGTGATCCACCCGCCTCGGCCTCCCAAAGTGCTGGGATTACAGGCGTGAGCCACCGCGCCCGGCCGACCTGACCTCTTACATACCCCACAGAAACCACACTCGGGGAGATTCTGATAATTCTCGGTGATAGCCCAAAATCTGGAAGGAAGCAAACTGAGTGAGCATTACTGTTTTTGACTGTAACTGAAGAGTAGGAGACATAGTTGCTGGGGAGGATCAGGTGAAAGGGGGAGAAATTGACCAAGTGGCTGATTCCCTACCCAGAACTCAGAGCTTCTATTTAAATTAGAATATGATCTGAGCACTGTGGTAGACCACAAAACAAAATCTCAGAGGAGAGGAGAGTCTGGGTATTTTATTCTAACAGACTGCACTCTCATCTGAGCCCCAACATTTCCTTAGACTTCAGAAGAGTAGATAGAACATAAAATACCAGCCCTCACACTAAAGCTATGGAAAGGATAGAAATTCGATAAACTTGTCTTAGATACAGTGGGAACAGAATTGAGAAATCACCCACACTTTGCAAATAAAATGTCTGGAGAGCTATGTGTAACCTCAAACAAGATGAAAGAAGTGGCATCGTAGCTAGTGCAAATATTCTATGATGAAAAAATAAAGAGGAAGAAAGACTGCAGCCTGTAAAATCTAACAAGAACCCATCATGGAGGAAAAGCAGCTTCAAGGAGCAGAAGGAGATTCCTTCCAACTGCTTCGTGCTGCAGATCAACTTAATGAGAATTTGAGTTCAGAAAAACAAGCTAGAAGACAAGATGATAATAACAGAAGAATTGGGAGGTTGTAGGCCTAAAGAAATACGAATAAATTAGATACAGCAAAAATTAGAATGAAAATTTAATTACTGACAGGTTGAGATAATTGTAGTAATACATTGGGAAAAAAACCAGAAAAGCAAAAACACACAAAGGACAGAAGGTGATCAAATAGAACTATAATTGCAGTCACTGAAGAAAAGAACCTAACACATGTAACAGACAGATTGAAACAGCACAAGGTGTTTCAGAAAAATTTTATAGTTTCTTCATGACAAAACCTGATTTGATCAAGTTATTGAGCTTTTTGTGCTTGGAGTGTATCCAAGAAAAATAAAGTCATTGAACTTTTGGGATAAAGGACAAATTATTATTTGGGAGGCCTCAGGTAGTTCTGTGCTATCTGCTGTCTGGGGTCATGTCTAGTCTCCACAGAGCCTTTGCCTTGGTCTTTAGGTGGCCCGATTGGGTTACCAGGCCATTATGGAGTTTGAAACCTGTACCCTGTGGTACATGATGGTCATTGGCTTGCCAGCCATCCTAGAGGGGTCGAGGGAGGTGCTGTCACTCTATGGAAGACATCTTTTTCTGAATTTCTGGAATCTATCTTTGCTTATTTGCTTGCTTAGGTCTTAGAATTAGTTGTTCACTATTCTGTTATCTTGGATTCAGCTCCCAGAAGGTGCATTTATCTTGTACTTTTTTGTACGAGATACTTTTTTATGTTTTAAAACATAAAATTTATGTTTTATTGCATCAGTATCGTTCTTGTCTTATGTTTTTTTTTCTCTGTGTTGAGAGATGATTAACAGCATGTTGTTTAAGTGTCTTCTGATGGTTCACCTTAGCCAGATTATGGGGACCTGCCAGCACCTATGTGTCTCTGACAAGCTCTTGGTCTGACTTGTTGACAGAAGAGGAGCAAAATACATTAAGAGACAGATTGGGCACTCTCCGTGCCCTTTAACAGAAATGTGGAGACCTGTTTCTGTCCTTCCTCTGTTTCTTTCCTTTCTTTTAAACATACAGAAACAAGCCTCTGGCTTGAACATAAAGTCTATATGTGTAGTTGGAAGCTATATGAGTCCTTCTCAGGAAACACCTTTCATAGCCAGAATTCCAAAAAAGCTTTGCAGTGGTATGCAGTCCATTTTATAAAAACATATTCCTGGATGGATTTATTTCTATTTGAAGTAAAATACAATATCATGTCATAAAAAAAATAGAGGTTGCGGGTAGGCAGAGAAGAAGAGAGAATGAGAATGATTCAGAATTCTTCAGGCTTCCAGGCAGAAAAGCAAACCATGAAAAAAGAGGGAAATAAGCTGGCCACAGACTTCTCCGTAGCAACATTTTCAGTACCAGCAGTGTTCAAGGGAGCAACATCTGCGAAGTTCTGGAGGAAAAAAAGGATGGTCCAAGAATAGTGTACCCAGCCAAGGTGTCATTCTGCTGTAAAGCTGGCAGGCAGATATTCTCAAACAAGAGTGAATTCAGGGAAAGAGTACTATGAGCTCTACTTAAACAAAACAAAACAAAAACCCTCTTGACAGTGAAATCCAGAGGAGAATTGAAGAGCTCAAGAAAGAGAAGTTGTGGTAAAAGGACTGTGAGGAGATTGAGTCAGCTAAAATTCAGGACTAAATAACTATGGAATTACTGTTATTGAATGTAGTGCAAATGTTAAGGACCTGGACATTGTAAAAATTTTATAACAAAAATTGGAAGAAGAAATGAGAGGCAATGTGAGTGCTAAGATTTTTCAACTTTCAAAGCAAGAAGTTAGTGAATTCTGTACAAAAATAAATTGCATATAACTTTAAATTCAACCTCTAAATAATTTTTCATGTATTTTTAAGAGTGCAATATTCCAAAAATATGTAAAATAATAGTTATGTGCAATTAATATTTAATAGTTGTCACCATTTGTTGTATTTGCTTCAGATCTTGTATAAAATATTTAAGATAAAAGGAAAGGCTTAGAGAAAATTAACACCAATGGATTCACCACCGGCTTAGAAATTAAAACACTGCTAACACAGTTGAAGTCCCTTGCATGTCCCTCCAAAGTCCCAGAGATAACCTGTATCCTGATTTTGGTGTCAGTTGTTCATACTTTCATATATATGTTATACTTTACATATATGTTATACATTACAGATATATGAAAGTATAGTAGAATTAATAAATTTTCTGTTTTTAGTCTTTATAGAAACAATATTCTGCAGTGTGCTATTTTAGCTTAACATTGTTTTGAGATTTATGTTGACATATGTTGCTGGCGTATATTTTTCATTCTGTATACTTATTCTTTATGTTATCTATCTGGATATATTACCATTTATTTGTTGATTTTCAATGGATGGACATTTATTTGTATTCTTTTTTGCTATTGTGATAAACTTTCTTATACCTTTATGCTTATATATGATAATGTTTTTCAAGATTTTTTAAATACTTGGAATATCCAGGTAAACTTTTATAGAAAAGAAACATTTACTTAAGATATAACAATATCATTTCTTTTTGTTTTTTTTTCTATTTTATGAAAATAATTAAAATCAACACTTTATTAACAGTATCCTCATATGCATAGAAAGATGTCTGGAATGATGTTTACTTAATGATATTTATTTCTAGATCATGGAATGTGGCATCTTTTAAAAAAAACTTTTAGCTCTTTATTCTTTGTATTGGTTACATTCTTTATAATGAACATGTATGATTTTTATAAAAACAGTAGAGTTTTTCTCAAAAGCAAAAACTCAAAAGTGAGTACTTTAAGATACTGAATGTGATTATTGAATAATGCATTAATAAGTATAAATTGCATGGCAGGATTATAAATTATTTTCTTTTTGGCATTTTTGTATTTTAAGGTCTTTATATTCGTAGTACAAGTGAAATGCTATAATGGTATTCTGGCTTTTGAAAATGTATTTTTAGTCAATTATATAAAGAAAAGGAAAGATTAGTAATTTTCTTTTACTTAATTATCATCCCTTTTTTGGTACCTATCTTCAGTTTCTCATGATTAAATAAAAGAAAAGTTATTGTAATAAAATTTTGAGTCCCTTGAGTACAATGCAACCTTTAAATGATTTAGACTGTGTATAGAAGAGGTTTTCAGGAAGTGTTAGAACCTTCCAGTAGCTTTGTATTCCTTTCTTTTCCCAGGATTTTGTAGTCCAGCTCCTCTTCCTGAGTTATCACTTGTCCAGTGGGCCCAGGTGTCAGGTTTATTTGTGAAGGTGACAAGTGCCCCCCTACATCCATGGTGGATTTAGTGAGCATCTCCAAACTGGATTATGTCACAAATAAAATAGTATGAGATGTTCTGTCTTATTAGTTGGGTGAAAATATGATCTGTTTGTTTTGTAGGTATGACCTTGCTTCTAGGGAGTGGCTTCCACTAAACCGTTCTGTGAACAATGTGGTTGTTAGATATGGTCATTCTTTGGCATTATACAAGGTAAAGCATCTCCACTCTGTGCTAAGCAAGAAACTAAGTTTTCCTCAGTTACTTCATGTATTACATAGTTGAAAAGCTACCTCAGTGTTGGTTTTTAATTGGGGAAAACTTTTTATTGGGGGCATTATATAATTGGCTAAGTTATAAGTAGAAATTAAAATGGAAACTTTTTTAACTCAAGAGATTTTAATGGCTTCAAACTGTAATGGGGTATTATAATAATGGCACTAAATGGTTAAAGATGTAGATTAAAAAGTGTAGATTAGCTTTTATTCTCATAAGCAAGTTTAGCCAAGAATAGCCACATTGTAATGTGGCTGAACAAACATTTTCATTTCCTCATTTTTATAGATAGATGGTAGGATGAGGCAACTTTATTTTTCCAAGTCCTTTTATACTATAAAAGATTCATGTGAGGAAGTCCAAGAAAACTGGTGAAGTATTAGAGATGTAAAATATGATTAGTTTTATTTCCCTTTTCCCTTTTTTTATCCTTTTCCTAGTAACTCACTGAAAGGCGCCTTTTGCTAACCCTTAAAATTTTTTTTAATTTATTTTTTACTGAGGTAAAATATACGTATATAATGGTACCATCTTTACCATTTTTAAGTGTACAGTTTGGTGGTAATAAATATATTTACATTCTTTTTTTCCTTCTTCATTCTCCCCCACCAGCCTGCCAGCCTCTGGTAACCACCAGTCTACTCTCTATCTTCATGAGATCCACTTTTTTAGTTCCCACATATGATTGATAATGTGATATTTGTCTCTGTGCTTGGCTTATTTTACTTAACATAATGACCTCCAGTTCAGTCCATGTTGCTACAAAATGACTGGATGTCATTCTTTTTAACGGCTGAATAATGCTCCATTGTGTATATATACACCACATTTTCTTTATCTAATTATCCATTGATAGACACGTTGATTCCATGTTTTGGCTATTGTCAATTGTGCTGCAATTAACATGGGAGTGCAGATATCTCTTTGATATGTTCATTTCCATTCTTTTGGATATATACCCAGTATCGAAATTGTTGGATCATAGGGTAGTTCTATTTTTAGTTTCTTGACTAACCTTTTTTAAGCTGAGAATAATATTGAGCTTTTGTTCTTCTCTGTTCTCAGATTTAATCTTTTCAATGTTTTTAAAAATTTTGTTTGCATTTTTTTCCTAGGATAAAATTTACATGTATGGAGGAAAAATTGATTCAACTGGGAATGTGACCAATGAGTTGAGAGTTTTTCACATTCATAATGAGTCATGGGTGTTGTTGACCCCTAAGGCAAAGGAGCAGTATGCAGTGGTTGGGCACTCTGCACACATTGTTACACTGAAGAATGGCCGAGTGGTCATGCTGGTCATCTTTGGTCACTGCCCTCTCTATGGATATATAAGCAATGTGCAGGAATATGATTTGGGTAGGTATATTTTTTCCAGTAGATGCCTTTTGAACATCAGATTTAAAACCTCTAAGCTTATTATTTTGACTGTTTAGAAAAGTTCAACCTAATCTTGATTCGGTACTTTATCTTGAAACATAGTAAACACTGGGCCCAGGCGTGGTGGCCCACTCCTGTAATCCCAGCACTTTGGGAGGCTGAGGCGGGCGGATCACCTAAGGTCAGGAGTTCAAGACCAGCCTGGCACCAACATGGTGAAACCCTGTCTCTACTAAAAATACAAAAATTAGCCTGTCCTGGTGGCGGGCACCTATAATCCCAGCAACTCAGGAGGCTGAGGCAGGAGAATCGCTTGAACCCGGGAGGTGGAGGTTGCAGTGAGCCAAGATTGCACCACTGCACTCCAGCCTGGGGGACAGAGTGAGACTCCGTCTCAAAACAAACAAACAAACAAACAAACAAAAGCAACATAGTTAACATTGATGTATTACCAGTGAAATGCAGATTATCGATGCTCCTATGTAGTATGTATTTGTTACTGTCAATTTGGTAAGGAGCCAAAGATGACGCAAAGTGCTTTGGGTATTTAAAATAAATAAATAAAAATGGTTCAAAACAATAAATATTGAAGAAAAAAAATATTTGCCCAGCCCTTTAGAGATTGGTTTAGTGGAGTATGATTTACCCTTAATATGAAATATTTCCCTTGGTTAAATTTCATTGTATCTGTTGTTGTGCAGTAGGAATACCAGGTATAATTAACATTTTGTGAAAGTAGGCCTATAAAATATATCTGTATATTGGTCACCAAAGGTTGTAGGGAATTAAATGTTCATTTGAGTGAACATTTTATTTATTGAGACAGGCTCTTGTTCTCTCACACAGGCTGGAGTGCAGTGGCACAATCATAGCTCACTGCAGCCTTGATGCCCTGTCCTCAAGTGATCCTCCCACCTTAGCCTCCCTAGTAGCTGGGACTACAGGTGCGTGCCACCACTCCTGGCTAATTTTTTAATTTTAGTAGAGATGGGATCTTGCTATGTTGCCCAGGCTGGCCAACATAGCAGGCCTCAAGTGATCCTCCCACCTTAGCCTCCCAAAGTGCTGGGATTACACATGTAAGCCACTTCGCCTGGCCCTGAGTGTTTTAAATTTAGTTAATTCTTTTCCTACATGGCATATTAGAACATCAGAACATAGAACAGACTGGAATTGGGCCACATGGCTTTGTTATAAGTTTTAGGTGGCTTTCTTTAAAATATAAAGATAAAAAAGTATATGTATCAGGTCTCCTGAAATCCATTCTCATGCCCTAAGCTCTTTGGACATTTTCAGTAGTAGAGAGGAGGAGCCTGCCATGCTTGCCTTTAACTGTCTTTCCTTTCCAGATAAGAACACATGGAGTATATTACACACCCAGGGTGCCCTTGTGCAAGGGGGTTACGGCCATAGCAGTGTTTACGACCATAGGACCAGGGCCCTATACGTTCATGGTGGCTACAAGGCTTTCAGTGCCAATAAGTACCGGCTTGCAGATGATCTCTACCGATATGATGTGGATACCCAGATGTGGTGGGTACTTTTTCTTGAGCTTTCACTTTAAGGTGTAAATTCTGTAGAGGCAATTGTGGAGAAAATATTGTGCTATCTTTTTGTTTTCATGCCTGGCAGATAATTCTGTTCGGCATTATATATAGAGAAATTGGGAAATAAACAGAGGGTAATAAAGTAGCTAGTATTTATTTTGTTACGTTATTCTGTAATTCTGTAGCAGGTTGGTTAGAAAATACTTAGAGTTTTTTAACAAATGTAAAGCAAATTTGAGTTACGAAATAATGTAATTATAAAGCGATGGTTTCTCCTCTTTTTCCTCACATGTTTGATACCTTGCTATGGGTACTGTTTTATATTCTGTCATAAAAATAATCATTTTTAGTAGCTGTGCAATACTCCATTTTGTGGGTATGCTGAGACTATGCAGGTGAAAGTTTTGGTTTCTTTCTAGTTTTTATGTCATTAAGAAACCATTATGCATTAAGCTTCTGTCAATATTTCACATGATTTCTGCCCAGAAACTGGAATTATATAGCTACGGGGTATGAAGAGTTTAAGGTTCTTAATATATTTTGCCAAAACTCTTACAGGTCTTTAAAATTATCTGTATTTATTGTTGAAAAACTTACTTTTATGTAGGGAAAACTCTGGAAGGATTTGTACATTTGGGTCTGAGGTTAATAAAGTGGTTGTGCTTGCATTAGCAGATACATAAATATTCTTTAAAAACTAACCTTGTATTTATTATTTCTAAATAAACTCAAAAGGACCATTCTTAAGGACAGCCGATTTTTCCGTTACTTGCACACAGCTGTGATAGTGAGTGGAACCATGCTGGTGTTTGGAGGAAACACACACAATGACACATCTATGAGCCATGGCGCCAAATGCTTCTCTTCAGATTTCATGGCCTATGACATTGGTAAGTTTCCCAAAACCATTTTCTCTTCAGGCATCTTTTTGCCTATACTATAAGCAGCATTTAAAAGGAGACTGAAAATATTGCCAGTTCAAAATGATCAGGCCATTTGAAAGAGGTCCAAATGGTATTTTTTATATTCATTTGACTAATGTTACACATCTGGTAAAAATTATTTCTACATTAAATTCTTTTTGAAATCACTCCTGTTAATTGCTTGAATGCTAATTTTTAAGGCTGAGTTGAGGTGTCTAGTCTCTCCTTTGTCATGTTATGCCTACCTGGTAGTGTTACATAGTTGCAACCACCAGCATTGTGTTAAAATTGGTTCACGTATTAGCTTTATCTCATTCCCTAGAAAACTGGTTTCTCACATGGTCTTGGTGTGGCAATATACCAGACCAGAAGAGGGCAGTATTTGTTCATGCAAAGCAAATGCATACCGGATGATCTCTTTCATAAAAATTGTCAGATGTTCATTTTAAACAAATTATTATTTTTTTGATTGTGGTAAAATACACATAAAATTTACCATCCTAACTATATTTAAATGTCTAGTTTAGTGATACTAAACACATTCATAATGTTATAAATCCATCACCGCCATCCATCTTCAGAACTGTCTTCATCTTGTAAGACTGAAGCTGTATACCCATTAAACAATAATGTCCCATTTCTTCCTCCCCACAATGCCTGGCAACCACTATTCTACAGTCTGTCTCTGTGATTTTGACTATTCCAAGTCAGACATTCGTTTTTAACAGACATTTGTGTGCCAGCCACTCAGTTTGTACATTGAGGAGATCAGATGAATAACTTAAAGCCCTTAGCCTCAAAGTAGAAGAGGTAGAGAAATGAGCAGACAATAGAATTGCACTTCAGGGTGTTTCTGGCTGAAAAGAATGTATGAGAGCACCTCTGAGTACCCTTTAAGTCATGGAGGGTAGAGTGATAAACAGGGAACACTTTCTTAAGGAGGGGCCATCCTCTCTGGGTCCTTGGGGACACTAGGTGTCAGGTAGGTGAAGTTAGGCAGCACTCTCCAGGCAGAGGAAACCCAGTTTGCAGAGACACAGAGGTGGAAAAGACCGGCACATATTTAAGGGCTCAAAGAGTGAGACACTGAGTGTGAGGTTGGCATGGTATAGCAGCACCAGTTGGTATTAGATCCAGAAGAGAAGTTGCTAGTATGGGTCACAACAAGGGAAAATTAATCAATCTATGGGATCTAGGAAAGGACTTTGTAAAAATTAGGTGACATTTAAATTTCTTGAAATTTCATTTTCCACCTTTATTTTTCCATTTTAGCTACTAAATTTGAGCAAATCAATATAGAAAAGAGTGGAAAATAATTATGAAACCCATGTTTTGCTGACATAAGCTTTGTAGAATGTAAAATTTGCTTGCTTTAAAAAACATTCTTGGCTGGGCGTGGTGGTTCATGCCTGTAATCCCAGCACTTTGGGAGGCCCAGGTGGGCAGATCACGAGGTCAGGAGATTGAGACTATCCTGGCTAACACGGTGAAACCCCATCTCTACTAAAAATAAAAAAAATTAGCCAGGCATGGTGGCAGGCGCCTATAGGCCCAGCTACTTGGGAGGATGAGGCAGGAGAATGGCGTGAACCTGGGAGGAGGAGCTTGCAGTGAGCTGAGATCACACCACTGCACTCCAGCCTGGGTGACAGAGCGAGACTCTGTCTCAATTCTAGTGCATCAAACTGATAGGCAGTTGGGTGAGTGATCCAGATGTCATGGATTTCGGGTGCGTTTGCTAGTTAGAATTGTGGTATGATCCCGCCTTTCTTCCATGCCCTGTTGCTCTGCTGCTGCTTCATTTTAACCCAGAAATGATGTTGTAACTGAGAAAATTGAGAGGCATGTTTTATGAGGTTCTCTTTGTTGTAGTATTTTTCCCAAAGAAAATGTCAGGTCCTGTTGATTAGAAATGGTAGTCCGTTTAAAAATATATTTTTCTTTCTCCTAGCCTGTGACCGCTGGTCAGTGCTTCCCAGACCTGATCTCCACCATGATGTCAACAGATTTGGCCATTCAGCAGTCTTACACAACAGGTAATTGGAGAAGTGATTGCTCCTTTTCTTTTGTGTTTAAAATGAAAATAAAGGGCCGGGCACGGTGGCTCACGCCTGTAATTCTGGCACTTTGGGAGGCCGAGGCGGGTGGAATACGAGGTCAGGAGATCAAGACCATCCTGGCCAACATGGTAAAGACCCATCTCTACTAAAAGTACAAAAATTAGCTGGGCTTGGTAGTGCGTGCCTGTAATCCCCCCTAGTTGGGAGGCTGAGGCAGGAGAATCGCTTGAACGAGGGATGCTGAGGCAGGAGAATCACTTGAACCAGGGAGTTGGAGGTTGCCGTGAGACGAGATCGCGCCACAGCACTCCAGCCTGGCAACAGAGCAAGACTCTGTCTCAAAAAAAAAAAAAAAAAAAAAAAAGAGAAAAGTAAAGTGGAATTGGACTCAACATATTATTCACAAGATTCCCTCATCCCAGTAGTTTTTTTACAGGATTATGTGGGTATAAATTTTCTGATTTATGTTTAAAATATTTGATGTGGAGGTGAATTACTTTGAATGCCATGTTTATTGATCTGGTTTTGTTAGCACGCAAGAGCATGCTTTTTGGTGTGGTCTGAGTGCCTGGGGCAACAAAAGTTACGTGCATGTCATTGTCTTATGTCCTTTGTTATTGTTAGTGGTATTTAGGTTGTCAAGTTCCTAGTAGTTGTATCTGAATAGTAAGAAGTTTGGAAAAGAGGAGAGAGGGCACTTCAGATGGGGGGATAAGGTAGGAGAACAGAGGTGGAGAGATTGTGAAGTTTAATATAGCTCAAGTCTGTAGGCTCTGGATAATCAGAAGTCTGCAGTTCATTGCATTTTATCGCTCAAAAATGCCTGGCCCAAACTACCAGAGCTCTTCAAAAAATCGGCCCTTGGAGAAGTCTCAGTCAAATAAGGGAGATTCAGAGTGGCCACTCTACTTGTTCCTTACAGTGTGCTTTAAAGATTTTTAAGAAGTTAAACAGCCTAATCACATTATTAATTTTTCTCATTCAGTTTCTGCTATTACTACTGCTGTCTACTTTCCCTTTTTTAAAATTCTAAGCCATATAAATCCTAAGGATGTTTAAGCGTTATAATGCCTGCATCATGTTAGAATTCCTTTGGCTTTTGAAATTTCTGTTGTAACGATGGAAGACAGATGAGGTAATTTCACTTAGATTAGGAAAGATGAGAGGCCGGGCACGGTGGCTCACGCCTGTAATCCCAGCACTTTGGGAGGCCGAGGAGGGCCGATCACTTGAGCCCAGGAGTTCCAGACCACCCTGGTCAACATGGCAAAACCCCCGTCTCTTCCTAAAATACAAAACAATTAGCCAGGTGTGGTGGTAGGCACCTGTAGTCCCAGCTACTTGGGAGGCTGAGGCAGGAGAATCACTTGAACCCAGGAGGCGGAAATTGCAGTGAGCCAAGATTATGCCACTGCATTCCAGCCTGGGCGACAGCGAGACTCCATCTCAAAAAAAAAAAAAAAAAAAAGGAAAAGTGAGAAGGTGACATATTTTGGAGATGTTGTGAAGGAAGAGTTGAGACAATTTAGGAACTAGCTACTAGGAAAAGGTGCTATCTTATATAAGGTAATTATTTCGTTTTTTAGCAATGTGTATGGTTTTACTATGAGAACATTTGACAGCTAGAGACTAAAATGGAAGGATTTCTGGCCACCTTGCTAATTTGAAGTGTTATTATAAATCATAATCTTGAACTTCCTCAGTACAGAAGACCCTTAAAGCTTTCTAGCAAGTGCCTCTTGAGATTTTCATCTGAAACGCAGTGGGACCATTTTGTCATTATCATGCCTGTGGGAGCCTGGCCTCAACTGTCTTCGTTTGTGTTCCTAGTTCTCCTAGCACAGGATTTGGCACATAATAGACATTTGCTAAATGGCAGGTATTAGTACAGTCATAACTAGCAAACAAATGAATTTTTTATAAAACATTCTTAGGTTTTATTCAAACTCAGAGAAGTTGAGACTTTACCATAAAATATAATTTAATCATGAGTCAAAATTGGGAATGCCTTGCCTGAGTTGTAATGTTTTCATTTTATGTGATTCCAGTGGTATGTTTGAACCCTGATATGTAAGTATCTGTGTGTGTGAGACAGGATTGGGTAGGTGGCAGGAGACCCTGAGGGAGGCCAGCTACTAAAAGGCCATAGTTTTGGTTTAATTTTATGAAATAATTTACTGAAAAAGAAACTTCGATTCACAGCATTTCTTCATGCTTTAAGTGGATCAACAGCATTGGGTGAGCTGTGCCTTCCTTGGTTTTCATTGAGGTTTTGAGGGAGGCAGGAAGGAGGAGGAGAGATGGCTGTGACATACCAAGGCGGCAGGAGATGCAGCTGTGCCTCTCAGTTGCCTGCTCCATGTGTCTCTGAGAGACTCTCCCTAACTTTGCAGAGCCCCTGTGCAACCAGATGGATTCACAATTGCTGAGAACACCAACTGTACTGGGAAGAGGAGGTTGCTTATTTGGTTTAAGCAACAAATTAACTAGTTGAATCTAGCCTGCTTAATGTGGTACTGAGTAAGCCTATAGCAAGGTAAAAAATGAAACCTGGCCGGGCGTAGTGGCTCACGCTTGTAATCCCAGCACTTTGGGAGGCCGAGGCGGGTGGATCACGAGGTCAGGAGATCAAGACTATCCTGGCTAACACTGTGAAACTCCATCTCTACTAAAAGTACAAAAAAATTAGCTGGGCGTGGTGGCGGGCGCATGTAGTCCCAGCTTCTCGGGAGGCTGAGGCAGGAGAATGATGTGAACCCCAGGAGGTGGAGCTTGCAGTGAGCTGAGATCGCGCCACTGCACTCCAGCCTGGGCAACAGAGCGAGACTGTGTCAAAAAAAAAAAAAAGAGAAAGAAACCTTATATTAATTTTTTAGTTTTTGAAATCTACCAGTAAATATTTCAGATTAGGCCAGGCATGGTGGCTCATGCCTGTTATCCCAGCACTTTGGGAGGCTAAGGCAGGAGGATCACTTGAGCCCAGGAGTTTGAGGCTGCAGTGAGCTATGATGACGCCACTGCACTCCAGCCTGGGTGACAGAGTGAGACCCTAACTCAAAAAAAATATATTTCAGATAACAATTTGTTTTCATTTTTCACAACTCTATAAAGTAACTATAAACACTGAATTCTTGAATATTGAATTATTGCTCCTAGGGGAAATACAGGGTTATGTTTCTATAAACCTCTGATGACATTTTCATCAACCAGTCAGCATACATAACTTTCTTTTATGTGTGTTTCTATTTAAAAACATCTTGTTGAATATATATTCTTGATTTATTAACATTGAGCTCACAGCCAACAGCACTTTAACTCATGCCTGAACAAAGCTTATGTAACACACGTATTTTCTCAGTAAGGCTCGTCACAGCCTTCTTACACTTAGGAACACTAGACAGCACTTCAGCACTGCATAGGGGGCCATTTTCAGCAGTGAAAGCACTAACATAAGGCACAAAAATGCATAAAACATGGCACTAGATACATCATGGAAGGGACACTTGTTTGTAGTATGATAGTTGAAACAAGAAGGGAGAGCATCTCCTTGTTTGACCTTAGCCGGTAATATGCATGTGTGTCAACTCAAATTTTTTGCCATTCTTTGCACACACATGCTGGTAAATGACCATGAAACTACTGCAAGTATTGATTTTGGAATTAGAAATAGATTTTATAAGTACGTGAATTTGCAAATATGGAATCTACAATCTGCAGATATGGTCATGTGTCACTGAATGATAGGGATACATTCTGAGAAGTGCATCCTTAGGCAATTTCATCATTGTGCCAACATCACAGAGTGTACTTACATAAACTTAGGCTACACATCTAGGCTATATGGTATGGCTTGTTGCTCCTAGCTACAAGCCTGTGCAGCATGTTACTATACTCAATACTGTAGGTCATTGTAATGCAATGTAAGTATTTGTGTGTCCAAGCATATCTAAACATAGAGAAGGTACAGTAAAAATGCAATATAAAAGATAAAAAAATGTACACCTGTACAGGCCACTTACTATGAAGAGAGGGAGCATACAGGACTGGAAATTGTTCTGGGGAGGTCTGTGAGTGAGTAGACTGTACACTACTGTAGACTTTGTGAACTGTACACTTAGGCTACACTAAATTTATTTTAAAATTGTTTTCTTCAATAATAAATTAACCTTAGATTACTAGATGACAACCATTGTACATGCCATCCATCATTGATGGAAACATCGTTATGCAGGACCACATACATGACTATAATGAGGATTGGCTGTCTTTTAAAGATGAAGACTTAATTTTTAAAACACAACCCCTATGCAGTTATTACACTTTTATTCTTTAAGCCAGGGGTGGTGGCTCACGCCTGTAATCCCAGCGCTTTGGGAGGCCAAGGCAGGAGGATTGCTTGAGTCCAGGAGTTCAACACCAGCCTGGGCAACACAGCAAGACCTCATCTCTACTAGAAATACAAAAATTAGCTGGTCATGGTGGTGCGTGCCTGTTGTCCCAACTACTCAGGAGGTTGAGGTGGGAGGATTGCTTGAGCCCAGGAATTTGAGGTTGCACTGAGCTATGATGGTGCTGTTGCACTCCAGTCTGAGTAATGGAGCAAGACTCTAACTCAAAAAAAAAAAAAAAGTTGTTCTTTAATATCTCTCAGTGTCCATTCAGTGTTTACATCTCCTAATTGTCTCAATTTTTTTTTTAAGTTTAGTTTGTTCAACTCAGAATCCAAATAAGATCCATATGTTACAATTGGTTAAAATGTCTCTGAAGTTTCTCTTGATCTGTAGGGACCCCATCCATCATTTTCCCCCTTACTTGTTAAAGAGACTGGGTTGTTTGTCCTGTAGAGTTTCCCGTAGTCCAGATTTTGATTATTGTATCCTGGGCTTTCATATAACATATTGGTCTCTCTCCTAAACTTCCTACAAATTAACTTGATCAGATTCACTTCAGTATTTTGGCAAGATCACTTCATAGGTTTATTTCTTTCCCTTTGTTTACCAATCTTCAAAATAATGTAGTGATTTCTTAGTATTGTCCAAAGATGACAAATTAGGTTGTTTTTTTTTTTCAGGGGATGGGAGATGTGTATCATTATGAACTCATGGATTTAAAAATATTTCATGTGTTTTAATCTATTGTAGTTTGTGTTTTTATTAAATTTCAAACATTTTCCATCTTTAGCCAGTGAGGGCATCTTTACATTAGCTTTTGAGTTTATCTGATACTACCCTCGTTTTCTTTTCTTCCCAGTATAACAAGATCTGCTAGACTCATTGTGAACATTTCTTCATCCAGACATGAAATTAGGTTTTTCTCTAAAAAGTTCTAGTTTTTAAGGGGTGACAGGAGGGAGAAAGAATGGTTTTTAAATACGCACAATCTAAGCACTAGTTGTATTCATTGCTCCTGGGTTGGCTGTTGTTTCTAGGTTTTTTAAGAAGGCAGGTTAAAGAGAAACTGTGGTGTTCTTCTTTTTAAAAAGGAAAATGAATTATTTGTGCACGTTTGTGTGTTTGACCTTCTAGTTCCCTCAATAGATAAATGGCTACATTGTTTGAATACTTTTCTCTGCGTTCCATTTTTTCCCCCACATAGCAGTATATACTGGTGCTCACTCCATAGAAGTATGTAGAAATTTTCCTCATTCCTTTTACATCTGCCTAATATTTCATTATGTGGATGTATTATAGTTTGTCACATCCCCAATTGATGGACATTTGGGGCTGTTTGAGTCTTTTGCTATTATTAACCCATTTATGCCTAGTGTTCCATTATTGGAACGCTAAGCTTGTGGGAGTTATTTATATCCTGCTGCTCAAGGTCATCCCCAAGGTCTGATTTTTCACAAAAAAATTTGCCCTCTGGCATAAGTGGGTTAATGCTGTAGTGAATAGCCTCATGTACTTCTTTTTGTATTTTTGCTATTCTATCTTTGTGCTAGACTTCTAGAAATGTGATTTCAGGTTCAAAAAGTAAATGCAAAGTTTTGTTAGAGCTTGCCAAATCCCTCTGTAGGCTGCATCATTTTACATGCCCAGCAGTAGTGTGTGAGAGTGCCTTTTGCCCCATAGTCTCACCAATCCATATATTGTCAATTTTTTGTGCTTTTTTTTTTTTTTTGCTAGTCTTATAGGTGAGAAATGCTACCTCAGTATAGTTTTAATTTGCATTTTTCTTACACTGAAATTAGAGCATCTTCTCATATGTTTAAGGTCATTTGCATTTTTTTCTCTGCAAACTGGCTGAAGCCCCGCTCTATGTTAGGGATAGTCCTTTTCCTATAACATAACTTGTAAATCTTTTTTTCATAGCATATCATTTGTTTTTTTACTTTGCTTATAGCATTATTTCCATGTAAAACGTCTTTTTAATTCATATGACCAGATTTTTCAATCTTCTTTTCCCCTACCTTCTGGATTTTAAGTCAGTTTTTTTTCACTCTTAGGTTATAGAGAAATTCACCCATTCTTCTACTGCTTGTGTGTTTTGTTTTTCTCAGAAGATGCTCTAATCCATGTGGAAATTATCCCAGAATGTAGAGAAATAGATTCAATTTTATTTTTTTCCATATGTTTAGTTATCTTGATACCATTTACTAAAAAGAACATCTTTTCCCACTAATGTAAGATGCCACTTTTACTGTGTACTAAATGTACATGTGTGCTTTTATCTGTTTATGATTGGGCTCATATTCATGTACCAGTATGACACAACTTTAATTACAGAGGCTTTTACCTGTGCTTTAAATTTGTACATTTTTATTTTTAATATTTAAAAAATGAAGATATAGAATTGCTGTTTAGCATTAAAAGATGTGAGCATATCCTGACACTAAAATTTTCCAGTGACTCATGGTTAAAAGTCAGCAGGCTATCATGAGAACTTTTTAATACAGTAGCTATGACGAGGAGGCAGATTATTGGAACTATTCTGGGTGTGTTATAGGCCAGGATGAAAGGATGGAATTTGGAAAGGAAGGGAATCATAATGTTTTTTAAGACCTTGAAAAATAATTTCTTAGAAGACTTATGATATGTAAGATTTGTTTGAAGATTGTCTGTAAAAAGTGTATCATGGTAGCTGGATGTGGTGGTGTGTGCCTGTAGTCCCAGCTACTCAGGAGGCTGAGGCGAGAGGATCTCTTGAGCCCAGGAGTTTGAGACTAGCCTGGGCAACAGAGTAAGACCCTGTCTCTTAAAAAAAAAAAAAAAAGTATAGCATCCAATTGTTATCTGAGTCTCTAGTAAATTTCTTCTCTCCCTTTTTCCTCTTAGCACCATGTATGTGTTCGGTGGTTTCAATAGTCTCCTCCTCAGCGACATCCTGGTATTCACCTCGGAACAGTGTGATGCGCATCGGAGTGAAGCCGCTTGTTTAGCAGCAGGACCTGGTATTCGGTGTGTGTGGAACACAGGGTCGTCTCAGTGTATCTCGTGGGCGCTGGCAACTGATGAACAAGAAGAAAAGTTAAAATCAGAATGTTTTTCCAAAAGAAGTATGTTTTTTTTTCTCTACTTAGATTTTAATGAATTTGAGACCTCATTTTATCTGAATTGTGAAGGAACTTAGCATATGTATACTTTTTATGTTTACCTTATCCAAAATTATTCAGTAATAACTTGTACAAAGTGTTTTTGGATATTTGATAATTGGTTTGTAAACATCTCGGATGGGAACATGCCATGTGGCTCCTAGAAGCTGTCTGCGAGTGATAGAGACATAACCGTTTTGGCATTGCATAGGCTTTGCATACTGACCCCAGATTCTGGCTGCAGTTGCTCTGAGGCAGTGCCATCCAGTAGAACTTTATTTTTGATGATGGAAATGTTGTGTGTCTGGACTGTCCCGATATGGTAGCCACTAGCCACATGGGCTATCAGATACTTGAAATGTAGCTAGTGTGAGTGAAGAACTGAATTTTTAATTTAATTTAATTTTAATTTAAAAGACATTTGTGGTTACTGGCTACCATATTGGATGCAGATCTAACATTAAGGATGAAGTTAGGAGAGTCAGCCCAGAAAAGCCATGTTGAAGTAAATTTTTTTGGTGGAGGGAGGGAGAGCTGCTGTCCTTGCAAAGTATTTTTGTCTAGCGTCTCTAGTTGGATACAACAGTGATATCAAGACAGACAGTTACTGAGG
Source organism: Homo sapiens (assembly GCF_000001405.40). Classification (NCBI taxonomy): domain Eukaryota; kingdom Metazoa; phylum Chordata; class Mammalia; order Primates; family Hominidae; genus Homo; species Homo sapiens. The sequence goes on from NC_000020.11 coordinate 3,573,601, forward strand.
ATGGGCGATGATCCCTGCTTCTAGAACCTCCCCCATGTTTTTCAAGCTGTTTCCGTCCTTCTGCCTGCTTTGCTTCTTGTCCTATATTGCTGTGACATAGAGCACAATGCGGTACAGTGAAGCGATATATTAAAAATTTATTTTTTGTTTTATTTTATTTTATTTATTTATTTATTTATTTATTTTGAGACAGAGTCTCTGTCGCTCAGGCTGGAGTACAGCAGCGTGATCTCAGCTCACTACAACCTCCACCTCCCAGGTTCAAGTGATTCTTATACAGTCACCTGCCACCATGCTCGGCTAGTTTTTGTATTTTTAGTAGAGATGGGGTTTTACCATGTTGGCCAGGCTGGTCTGGAACTCCTGACCTCAAGTGATCTGCCCGCCTCAGCCTCGCAAAGTGTTGGAATTACAGGCGTGAGCTACTGTACATGGCCAGAAAGTTCTTTAAAAGTAAGAATGTTGTCTCTACATCAATTAATTTAAAGTATGTTGGCTGAATTTCTTACTAGTAGGATTGGTGTTGCAGTTAACTTGAGAGTTATGATGGATAGAAGCAGCTTTCATTCCTGGGATGCTGCTCCAAGTTAAACTTTTCACGAATATAAATTCTCAGTAAGAACACCCAGGGCCAGCCACAGGGGCTCATGCCGGTAATCCCAGCACTTTGGGAGGCTGAGGTATGGGGATCACTTGAGCCCAGGAGTCTAAGACTAGCCTGGGCAACATAGTGAGACCCTGTCTCTACCAAAAACACAAAAATTAGCCAGGCATGGGCATGGTGGTGCACGCCTATAGTCCCAGCTACTAGGGTGGCTGAGGCAAGAGGGCTTGAGCCCAGGACGTTGAGGCTGCAGTGAGGCATGAGTGTGCCAGTGCACTCCAGCCTGGGTGACAGAATGAGATTCTGTCTCAAAAACAAAAAAACAGGCCACCCAGGCAACCCACTCAGGTTCATTGGTGGGCTGGTGGGTGCTGGAGAACCAAGATTACCAGAACTTAGCAGGGTTAGCTTGTCTCTTGAAAGGGATAAAATCAGTGAAATAGTTAATTTTTAAACCAAATTTTAAAAGTTCAAATTAAATATGCATGTTTATAGGAAATAGTGTTGAATTACCTTAGGTGTTCATATCAACCCATTTGCTGTCATCTCACCTGAGACTTCAGTTCCCTGTTTCACCCCACTTTCTGGGTGGGCCCAGTCCTTGGGATAATGACCAGGACAGGAAGAGCAGCCTAAGGAGCCGACTGCTGGGGTCTTTGTGAGAGCGGCACCTGCCTTTTCCTGTTTGTGAATTCCCCCATGTGCCATGTCCACGAGATGGTTGAACAGATGAGACAACATGGTTGTGCAGCTTCTCTCTTTTTTTTTTTTCAGACAGAGTCTCACTCTGTAGCCCAGGCTGGAGTGCAGTGGCGCAATTTCAGCTCACTGCAACCTCCGCCTCCCAGGTCCTGATTCAAGCAGTTCTCCTGCCTCAGCCTCCTGAGTAGCTGGGATTACAGGAACGCGCCACTATGCCCAGCTAATTTTTCTAGGTTTAGTAGAGACGGGGTTTCACCATGTTGACCAGGCTGGTCTTGAATTCCTGACCTTGTGATCCGCCCGCCTCGGCCTCCCGAAGTGCTGAGATTACAGGCATGAGCCACCGCATCCGGCCATGCAGCTTCTCTTTTCTAGAGTTAACAGGAGATGCGGCAGGTCTGTAGTAGCCCAGAAATTCTCAGACTTGCACTCTTGAATTTACACGCATGTACAAAATGCAGCTCAGCCTAATGCCTCCTGTTCAGTTCTGTGGTGCTGCCTACTTCCTGTGCCCAAATTAGCCTTGCGTTTATAACTAGGAGGAATGACTTGGTGTCCTACAATATTTTGGCTCCTGGGCTTCTTTGGTGTTCATTCTATTACTAGTTGATTTTTTTTTTCTTGGAAAGAAAAGTATTCAAAGAGCCAGAATTTACTTTCATTATATCTTACAGTTGTTAAATTAACCTATCCTTGTTTTCACTTTCTGTGTACTTCTTTCTTTGGGGTACAAAACAGTGTTTCTTTAGATTGTCTATTTCTAAATATTATTTTAACCAGAACATACCAAATATATTTTCCTGCCAGTTTCATTCTTCATTTTACTTCTTAACCATTGTTACGATTTTTTTTTTAACTTCGGTCTCAGATTTTGCTCAATTGAAGTTGTCCCAGTTCATGAGATTTTGTTTTCTTTGCAGCTCTTGACCATGACAGATGTGACCAGCACACAGATTGTTACAGCTGCACAGCCAACACCAATGACTGCCACTGGTGCAATGACCATTGTGTCCCCAGGAACCACAGCTGCTCAGAAGGCCAGGTCAGAGGCTGTTTCTTAAAGATTTCAGAAAAATCCCAATTTGTCATAGGTTTAGCTTTTATAGTGTATATGGTATAAATAATGGCCCAGAGTTACTTTTCAAATGGGTTTCTATTTGGATTTTATTATCCCTGAGGTTTTCCTTTAGGAAGAGATGTTCTGTATATTTCAAGGGTCCTACTAGCCCTGGGAATTTGTGTATTGTGTTTTAGAAGAAGGTAGGACTGTTGTCCCTGGGCATGGCTGTGACTAAGCACTGGATCCTTGGTTTGAGGCATCTGATAGTGACCTCACTTTACCAGTGCCAGGTTTTGATAAAGTTAGGGTTTGAGAGTGAGTCAGGTGTACAGCGGCCCATATTGAACTGTGGAAATGACAGACTTTGCAAAATCTCCTTGTTTTATATCTTGGTTTGGCATAATCTCACTGCTCATCATATATAGATTTTTAAATTTAAGTTATAAGATGACCCAGGCTTTTATAGTTTTTGACAGCTTACAAGACTTTTTTTTTTGTCAGTCTCATACAGTTCATAAAATAGAAAACTTTCAGACTTTTGAAGTGAGCATTTGAAAAGCACCAAGTTCAACATTCCCATTTTACAGATGAGCAGGTTGAGGCATGGTGTTTAAAAGAGTGGGCTGCTTCCTTGCCAGTTAAAAGCATGTCCTTGAGCAGAACATTCCATTGCAGTGTTCCCCACTGCAGAGCTACTGCAACTTATCTATCTATCTGTCTGTCTGTCTGTCTATCTATCTATCTATCTATCTATCTATCTATCTATCTGTCTATCTATTTATTTGCAGTTTGCTTCCTCAATTAGATTTTGTTGTCTATAATATCCTGTTGGTCCTCACCATAAGTTCTCTCTGTGGATACAAAAGAAAAGCTTTTGTCCACTGTGTTCTAGATCTCCATTTTTAGGTATGAGAATTGCCCCAAGGATAACCCCATGTACTACTGTAACAAGAAGACCAGCTGCAGGAGCTGTGCCCTGGACCAGAACTGCCAGTGGGAGCCCCGGAATCAGGAGTGCATTGCCCTGCCCGGTAGGCCTTGCAGGGTCATCTTGGTGTGTGTGGGTCCATTACTTCAGCCTGCTTCCCCCAACACTGTGCAGCCTAAGTTGAACCTAGCAGAGGGGAAGAGCTAATTCTGTCCATTCATCCCCCACACGAGTATTATGGGCTTTTTTGTTTTTAACTAAAATACAGTTCTTAAGTATTTGTTCCTACTGTCCTTTGAAATAAAGTGAAACATCCTTTGCTGCTCTGTAGAATTGAGTGACAGCTTGGTTCTGTATCACTGAGCCTGCTCCTTGTCTCTTTCCCATCCACCTTTGATAACCTGGGACTAGACCATGATGTCTCAGCAGTCAGTCTGCTGAGCACTTTATGGAGAGTACTTCTTATTAACCACTGGGATTTAATTGTTGGCACCTGCTAATGGGCCTTCTCTGAGAAGGAGAGGATAGATACTTCTGTCAGCAGCACCTTTTAGGGGTGATCTCCAGCCCTGAAAACCTCAATATATCCTGCTTCTGAGGTTCAGGATGATGAACTCAGGGCCTGAGACCAGCCAGCCATGTGATATATTTGGACCAGGGTGGTCCAGAAAGGGGAACTTCCTTGTCTGTGCACAACATCTGAGCTTGTTCAGGGAAGTTGGTTTGGACCAGGCCCTTTTTGAATGTCCCTTGGAAGTTTTTGATTCAGCTTGCAGAGTGGGACTCTTTTCTATATCTCAGTGTGTCTCAAATTTTAAGGTACAGGAAAAGACCTGGGAATCTTGCGAAAGGCATATTCTGGTGCAAGTGTGGGGTGGGGCCTAGAGTGTGCATTTTATCTAGTCGACTGCTACACTGTGAGGAGCAAGTCTTTGTCTGTTCTTAAATGATCTCTTTCCCATGGTACCTTTCTTTTATCTCAGTGACTGTTACTGTTAATGAACATTGTTGATGTCTCCAAAGTACTTTGGTTCTGGTGAAGTTGCTTTGTTCTTTCATTGTCTTCCAGGAAGCATTCATAGCTTCTGTGCAGTACCTTGTGTGGGTTCAGGATGATCACAGGTAGCAGATTACAAGCTTGTCTTGTATGCTATAGCCATATCACTTGGGTTGTTTCTCAAGAAGGACCTTCTCACCTTGCTTTTGGGATGCTTTGTACACTTGATTGTACCTTCCACCTGATGATATGAAAACAGTGCAGCTTTTGGAGACTATAGATTTGTTAATTCCTTGATTCATTTCCATTCTTGCAGTTTTTACCCCAGCCCTCCAATATGCATATTCATTTGTCTGCTCTTCACTTAGGATTTTAGTTTTCTAATTGTTCTTCAGAAGGAAGTGTACCAGTCTAATATTGGCACCAAACTGGTGTTTTCATCTAAGACATAGGATAAGTGACCTCAGAATATGCTTTTTAGGATCCGGGAGATATCACCAGTAAACATTTTAAAATTCTTGTATTCTGCATTTGGTCCTTAATAATGTGTCAGAGGCTCCCACATCCTAATGAAGTACCTAGAATTTAAATTAGAAAGGCCATTTCGGTATTCAGTAATTTGAACTCATAATACAGTAGTTTTGTCTGATTTCTAAAATTCTTTTCTTTCTCTTTTCCCCTTAATGAAAGAAAATATCTGTGGCATTGGCTGGCATTTGGTTGGAAACTCATGTTTGAAAATTACTACTGCCAAGGAGAATTATGACAATGCTAAATTGTTCTGTAGGAACCACAATGCCCTTTTGGCTTCTCTTACAACCCAGAAGAAGGTAGAATTTGTCCTTAAGCAGCTGCGAATAATGCAGTCATCTCAGAGCATGGTGAGTTAAAATCCTCAAAACTTAAGTTTCTGGTTATCCACCTTTCTACCAAGGGCATGACTGCAGCTTGCATGTGGAAGGCTGTGGATATGTGTGACGTGCTTGGCAAGAAGGGGAGTGCTGGTGAACGCAGCCTGAGGGACTGTGGGTTTGTGCTGTCAGAGTCTCTTCCTCTTAAAATTTTTAATACTTTGTATATATAAGATCTATGAATAATTATATGGGGGATGAATTGTAACATGTATATGTGTACATAATCTGGTGACATCAGTAGATTATTTCATACCTGTTTTACCTCTGGATTCTGCTAGGGGAGAAAGAGAGGTCACTGATAATTAGCTAGGTTGGATTAAGCCACCTGAGTTCCTTGGAGTTAAGGTATTATAATAGTGCATAAGACTGTATAATTACCACTAAGAAGTGTACATCTCAGCTGGATGTGGTGGCTCACACCTGTAATCCCAGCACTTTGGGAGGCTGAGGTGGGTGGATCGCCTGAGGTCAGGAGTTCAAGACCAGCCTGACCAATATAGTAAAACCCCGTCTCTACTAAAAATACAAAAATTAGCCAGGCATGGTGGTGTGCGCCTGTAATCCCAGCTACTCAGGAGGCCGAGGCAGGAGAATTGCTTGAACCCAGGAGGTGGAGGTGGCAGTGAGCTGAGATTGCGCCACCGCACTCCAGCCTGGGTGACAGAGCGATACTCCGTCTCAAAACAAAAAAAGAACAGCAAAAAAAAGAAATGTACATCTCCTTGGGTCTTTCATAGCCCAGCCATCTCAAAAGAAGAGAGCACCTTCTTGTCAAGAGTTTCTAAGCCCAGAAAGGCTCAAGTTCTCTGCTTGTCCACCCAGTGCTCTCAGGGGGCTTATAGTCAATATTCCATGATCACATTTTGTCATTTTTAGTCTGGAGTCATAAATTGTGATCCTACCGTCAGTTAAGTAGACTCATAGAACAAAGCTCTTTCAGCAGTTTCAGCTGTGGTACAGAAACGTTTAGTGGAAATGTTCTTACCAAGCAGGGAGGAGTTGAGGGCAACACTTCCTTGGGTACAGCCTCCTTCATGTGAAGGTATGGAAATGTGGCCTGGGTCTCGGCTGCCTGTGGCCTCTGTGTACCACCTATAGGGCCATTCTGAGACTGGTAGGAGGTGCCCTGTATTTAGTTTTCTCCAATTAGTCCCTTTTTTCAGTGCAACTTAGATGGGGTATGGACACTCAAACATTGGTGACATATTCTTAGTGTGTTTACCTCAGGCTACTGTGACCACATTTGGTATTTCATAATATTTTGATAGCTTTTTCAGATTTCAGAATCTCCATTGGTGACTGTCTCTGTTGTTTCTCTTTCCATGTCCAAATGTGGGTCTCTTCCAGCATTCCATCCTTGGCTGGCAGCTGACCTTTCCCATAGTTATTCACTCCCTCAGAAAATGGATGGCACCCAGCTTTGCTTATTACCCTGGTGTCTCTAACAATGACTCTCGAGTCCACAGAAGTTAAAAGGGTTCAACCAGGTGGCCACAGATATACTTCTGGTACCCTTTCTCTCTTCCTTAGGTTTTCTAACTCTAAACGTTTCTGGGTATTCTAATCTGCTGTGGCCACGTTTATGAAACAGAAATTCACAGTCTTAATGATAAGACTGACAGATGAGAGACAACTGAAGTGTAATGTCCTTCCACAGCTATACCTCTAGATGTAGCCCAGTTAGTAGAGCCCAGATTTTTATGGAAAAACAAGAAAGGACACCTAGCCTAACCCTTAGGACAGAGGCTGGCTGGTAGAAAGCTGGAAGGAGGTGACCCCTGCAGGTGAGAAGGAGTGAATTAGGATGTCGAAGACGGAAGGGCTTTCTGTGATTTAATTAGTGCCCCCATCTGTGAGATGTAGAGGGAGATGATTAAGGGAGTGGCTCTTTGAGTGAGCTGCAGGTAAGTTTGCATGGTTGGCTGCAGGCTGGATGGGAGGGGATTTTTATAGTTGAGCCTCAGGAAGGAACCAAGGCCAGACCCTGCGAGGCCATGGCTACAATAGTAATGGATTTGAATTGTATCGTGAAGGCAAAGAAATTATTGAAGGGCCTTTAAAAAGTATTTTTAATTGTCTTTCTTTCTTTTGGATCTGTTTATTTTTAGGTCTTTTAGTAGGCATGTGTATTTTTTCCTCTCAAAAATGGAAATAGGCTGGGTGTGGTGGCTCCTGCCTGTAATCCCAGCATTTTGGGAGGCCAGTGAGGGAGGATTGCTTGAGCCCAGGAGTTCAAGACTAGCCTGGGCAACACAGGGAGACCTCGTCTCTACAAAGGAAGTTTTTTTAAAGAATTAGCCGGGCATGATGGTGGCACATACTTGTAGTTCCGGCTACTTGGGAGGCTGAGGCAAGAGGGTTGCTTGAGCCCAGGGGTTTGAGGCTGTAGTGAGCCATGATCATGTCCCTGCACTCCAGCATGGGCAACAGAGCGAGACCCTGTCTCAAAAGAAAGCAAAGGGAGGGAAATACAGTATATCTTTTGTTTTATAACTACCAAAATTAGGAATACTTACCATTTCTTGGCTAAACTTTATATTTTGATTTTTAAAACTTGTTAAAAATTGCAATGAGAAGGAAATTTCAGGAGAGCAGAAGACAGACTGTCCCAGGTGTCACTGTCCTATTATTCCCTATAAAATCCAGTGCCAGGATGGATGAATGGATAAAGCAAATGTGGTATAAGTTGAATATCCCTTATCTAAAATGCTTTGGACGAGGAGTGTTTCGAATTTTAGAATATTTGCATTATACTAACCAGTTAAGCATCCCTAATCTGGAAATCCAAAATGCTCTAGTGAACATTTTCCTTCAGCATCCATCATGTTGGCACTCAAAAAGTTTTAGATTTTGGAGTGTTTTGGATTTCAGATTAGGGATACTCAGCCTGTGTTTGGGGGTAGCCATCTCTTCATATAGACATTTCAGAACTTAAATATTGCTTTGCTATAATTTCTGTGAATTTTTGATATATTATCTTCTCTGAGCTACATTTTTATCCTTTATAAAATGGCCATATTGAAGTGATGATCTATCCTAATCTACCATGGCTGAGTCAAGGGATAAAGAGGTTTTCCTATGTCTGTGGGGTATACTTAACTTGGTGGTTTTTATCTAGAAGCTTGTTTTGGTCAAGATGTTGGTTATATTCAGGCCAGGCATGGTGGCTCATGCCTATAATCTCAACATTTTGGGAGGCCAAGGTGGGAGGATCACTTGAGCTCAGGAGTTTGAAACTAGCCAGGGCAACATGGCAAGACTCCATCTCCAAAATTTAAATTAAAAAAAGATACTATCTGTATTCATAGTTGTGTCTCTTTTGCCTTTAGTCCAAGCTCACCTTAACCCCATGGGTCGGCCTTCGGAAGATCAATGTGTCCTACTGGTGCTGGGAAGATATGTCCCCATTTACAAATAGTTTACTACAGTGGATGCCGTCTGAGCCCAGTGATGCTGGATTCTGTGGAATTTTATCAGAACCCAGTACTCGGGGACTGAAGGCTGCAACCTGCATCAACCCACTCAATGGTAGTGTCTGTGAAAGGCCTGGTAAGTTCACAGGTGAATTAGGTGGTATTCAGAGTTTATTGTGAGAGAAACCATAGGAGGCATAGTTCATTGCTGAGATGTGTGAAGTAGTCATGAAAACAGATGAAGTATTGATTTCAAGCATGCAAAGAAGAGTATAACCCAGATTTCAGAAGCAGAAGGAAATATTCTGGGACCCTGAATAGTTTTAATTATAAGCAAAACTAAAAATAACTAACACTACTCGAAGAAACTGATATTCTAATTAACAATGAGATTGATAGGTTTATTGACCAGAAAAAGTATTGAGAATTGCTCTGAAAAGCAAATTTATTGGTGTTGGCAGAGAAATGCTGTGGAAGAAGAAACAAAAAAGGAAAATAAAAACAAAGAAAAGATTAGTAAAGCAAGCAAGTGACTGCAGGGACAGTGTTCAGAAAGGTAGTGTCAACAGGGAGAAAAATGATGAGAGCAGTTCTGTAAGCGAGGACAGAAGCAACCCAGAACTACGCGAGAGCTGCAGGAGAGTACTGAGCAGACAGACACTCGGAGTAGCTTCCCAGCTTTCAGTCTCTCTGGGCTACATTTTGGCTAACTAAAGGCAGGCCCAGGGGTAGCTGCTGCAGCATGAAGACAACTCAAAATAAGCCTCCTCCTCCTGCAGAGGGACTCACAAGCAGTCGGTGGAATTGTGGATTATTTTGGGAGGCTGGACTCCATTTGCATTGTGTCCAATTTTGGGAAAGTAATTTGTCTGAGGAATTACAGAGGTATAGGAGAGAATTCATAGCATTGTAGATTTCTAAATATTGATTTCTAAACTTCTCTAGGGGAGCTGCCCAGCAGCCTTTCAGAATTCTGAATCCTTTGTTGAACTTAATGAATGCCGTAGACCTTCTTCCCTCCAAAATTGCAAACATGAGATTTTACATATTCAAGTGGATTGTAAAACCCCTAAAGTTCATCCTGGGTCCCCAAATTCTAAGGGGCTTACAGCCCTACTTTTATGGAAAGATTCACTGTTTCCTCATCTTTGTCCTTAATGCTCTTTGAAAAGAAAATTTATTTTTTCCACAAGTGTGTAAATACACTTGACTAAACAGTACTTGATGACTTTTATTGTTTTCTATTTTCTCTCATTTAATTGATTTCATGGCACATTAATGGGTCATCACCCACATTTGAAAAGTCTTGGCTGGGCACAGTGGCTCACGCCTGTAATCCCAGCACTTTAGGAGGCCAAGACGGGTGGATCACAAGGTCAAGATATCAAGACCATCCTGGCTAACATAGTGAAACCCCATCTCTACTAAAAATACAAAAAATTAGCCAGACGTGATGGCGCACCCCTGTAGTCCCAGCTACTTGGGAGGCTGAGGCAGGAGAATCACTTGAACCGGGGAGGCGGAGGTTGCAGTGAGCCGAAATTGTGCCACTGCACTCTAGCCTGGAGACAGAGTGAGACTCCGTCTCAAAAAAAAAAAAGAAAAGAAAGAAAGAAAAGTCTTTGACCTTAGCGGACATGGTGGGAGCTCTAAGTGTCTCTCTTGGGTTTCATTCCCAGCAAACCACAGTGCTAAGCAGTGCCGGACACCATGTGCCTTGAGGACAGCATGTGGAGATTGCACCAGCGGCAGCTCTGAGTGCATGTGGTGCAGCAACATGAAGCAGTGTGTGGACTCCAATGCCTACGTGGCCTCCTTCCCTTTTGGCCAGTGTATGGAATGGTATACGATGAGCACCTGCCCCCGTAAGTGAAAAAGGGAGCCCTAGGCACTTATGCATGCCCTCTGTATAGGCAACAACTCAGCCATGAGGCTGTGCTGTCAGCCTCTGAACATTTTAGAAACAAGACTGGACATGACCTCTGCTCAAACCTGACCAGAGACTGCCATCGAGACCTTGCTGCCTATTGAGAACCTTCATACAGAATCAGGCACATTGACAGTAAATAAATGTAAGATAGATCACAGAGTACAGAAATAACTTGTCCAACTTCAGTGTCATATTGCTCAATCCATGTAATATCTCCATATCTGAATTTCCTAATTTGTAAAGTAAATGCTTTCCAATAGATAATCTCTAAGGTCCCTTTTGCCTTCAACATCCTGGGATTGAGAGAGGAGGGAAGGGTCATCTCTGTTATGTATTGGGCAAAATACTGGGCTCTTTACATTCATTATCTCTTTTAAATAATCAAGACAGAATAATATTTTTGACTCAAGCCAGTTGAATAGTCTGTTAAAAAAAAAGTAAATACAGTGAATTCAGATCTACCTGTGATAGTCAATTGCAACTTTTTTTTTTTAATAGCTGAAAATTGTTCAGGCTACTGTACCTGTAGTCATTGCTTGGAGCAACCAGGCTGTGGCTGGTGTACTGATCCCAGCAATACTGGCAAAGGGAAATGCATAGAGGGTTCCTATAAAGGACCAGTGAAGATGCCTTCGCAAGCCCCTACAGGAAATTTCTATCCACAGCCCCTGCTCAATTCCAGCATGTGTCTAGAGGACAGCAGATACAACTGGTCTTTCATTCACTGTCCAGGTAAGATGCCTTGCATATCCAAATTCAAGTGTTTCACTACTGATTTATGAAGAATAAAACCTTGAAAGCTACGTTGTGTATATGTAACTCCCTGCCCTCAGCCCCTTTCCTTCCTCCTAATGGTTGGTACAAGAAGGAATAGACCAGAAGCTGGTCCAAGGCCTGACCTGGACCTGCTGAGAGTGGTGGTGGGTTCCTAAGAAACCAATTCTAAGAAATTGGCCTTTGATTCAGACTTGAAGTGACCACTCAGCAATGTGTCTGTGGGTTTCTAGAACAGTTGGGAGAGGCTGGGCTGGTGCAAAGACTCCTCAGAGATTAGCAGTCAAGAACTTCTCTAAGAGCCTGCCATTGACAACAGGGCTGTTTGTGAGGACTTTGTAAGGGAAAGTCCACTGTAAACAAAGCTAAAAGGGCAGAGACAGACTGGGAGAAAATACCTGCACTGCATGTAACAACTGATGATCATCCAGAATATGTAAACTCCCACCCTCCAGGGAAAAAATAAGAAGCTAAATGTGAACCCAACAGAAAAAGTGGTTATTGGAGATAAAGAAGCCATTCTCAGAAAAGGAAATAGAACAGGAAAATGTAAACTAACACCAGGAACCAATTTTTTGTCTACTAAACTGGATCAAATTTTCCGTGTTCCCTTTTTTCCATACTAAGATATGGGGGACCTGCAATTCTATTTTTAATCTACTAGGAGTTAACTTTTTAACGAAATATTTAAATCTCTGCTTTTTCATGAATATCACGAATATATCTGGTAAAATGACAACCCAGAGAATGGGAGAAAATATTTGCAAAGTATATATCTAATAAGAATCCAATGTCCAGAACACGTAACTCTTAAAACTCAACAATAGAAAGACAACCCAATTAAGAAATGGATAAAGGATTTAAATAGACATATGTCCAGAGAAGAAATACAAATGGCCAATAAGCACATGAAAAGATACTCAATATCATTCATCATTACCAAGAAATGCAAGTCAAAGCCACAATGAGATACCACTTTACACCCACTGAGATGGCTGTAATCAATAAAACAGGTAATAACAAGTATTGGAAGGATATGTAGAAATTGGAACTCTCATGCAGGTTGGCAGGTCCTCAAAAAGTTAAATATAGAGTTATCATACGGCCCAGCAGTTTTACTCCTAGGTACATACCCAAGAAAATTGAAAACATATGTTACCCAAAAACTTGTATATAAATGCTTATGCTTATAGCATCATTCTTCATAGCATCATGCTCAAAGCAACATTATTCATAATAAGCAAAAGTGAAAACAAGCCAAATACCTGTTAGCTGGCAAATGGATGAACAAAGTGTTGTATATTCATACAGTGTAATGTTATTTGGCAATAAAAAGGAATGAAGTACTGACATATTTTCTGACATGGATTACCCTAAAAAAACATGCTATGTAAAAGAAGCCAGGTGCAAAAGATTATGCGTTGCATGATGCCATTTATATGAAATGTCCAAAGACAGAAAGTAGATGTTTAGTGGTTTCCTAGGGCTGGGCATGGAAATGAAGAATAATAGGCATGAGGTTTTCTAGAGTAGCTGCAGCATTATTTTCTGACATGGATTACCCTAAAAAAAATGCTATGTGAAAGAAGCCAGGTACAAAAGATTATGCATTGCATGATGCCATTTATATGAAATGTCCAAAGGCAGAAAGTAGATGTTTAGTGGTTTCCTAGGGCTGGGGATGGAAACAAGGAATAATAGGCATGAGGTTTTCTAGAGTAGCTGCAGTATTATTTTCTGACATGAATTACCCTAAAAAAACATGCTATGTAAAAGAAGCCAGGTACAAAAGATTATGCATTGCATGATGCCATTTATATGAAATGTCCAAAGGCAGAAAGTAGATGTTTAGTGGTTTCCTAGGGCTGGGGATGGAAACAAGGAATAATAGGCATGAGATTTTGTAGAGTAGCTGCACCATTTTATGCTCTCACCAACATCATATGAAGGTTCATATCTTTCCACATCCTTGCCAATACTTGTTACTATCTTTTTAATGAAAACTGTTCTAGTGGATGAGAAATGGCATCTCACTGTTGTTTTCATTTGTATTTTCCTGATAACTAATGAAATTGAACATCAACTTCATTAGTTAGCCTTTTGTATATCTTCTTTGGAGAAATATTTAGTCAAATTCTTTGCCCATTTTTCAGTTATGTTGTCTTTTTTATTATTGAGTTGTAAGAGTTCTTTATGAATTCTGAAGTCCCTTATTGGATATATTATTTGCAAATACTTTCTCCCATTATATGGGTTTCTTTTCACTTTCTTAATATGCCTTTTGAAATCAAAAGTTTTCAGTTTTGATTAAGTTCCATGTATCAATGTTTTATTTTATCCCATGTGCTTTTTGGTATTGTATCTAGAAAATCAGTGCCCAAGTAACCCAGGATCACATAGATTTGCTCCTAAGTTTTCTTTGAAAAGTTTCATAGATTTGTGTGTTACATTAGGTCCTTGATCCATTTTGAGTTAATTTTTGTGTATGGTGTGAGGTAGGGGTCCAAACTCTCTTCTTGCCTGTGGATGTGGTCCTGCACCATTTGTTGAAAAGATTTTTTTTTTTTTTTAACCATTGAATTTTCATGGCACATTTGTTGCAGATCAGTTGACTGTGAATCTAGGAACTTTTTTCTAAGCTCTCATTTTTGTGCAGTTGACCAATGTTTCTCCTTTTGCCAATATTACACTGTTTTGATTACTGTGGCTTTGTATAAGTTTTAAAATTGGGAAGGCTAAGTCCTCCACCTTTGTTCTTATTTTGCAAGACTGTTACAGCTATTCTGGGTTTCTTGCATGTTCATATTAATTTTAGGATGAGCTTGCCATTTTCTGCAACAACAAAAAGCCAACTGGTTTGATAAGGTTTGCATTGAATCTACTGACCAATTTGGGGTGTATTGCCTGTTTGTTTGTTTGTTTGTTTGTTTGTTTGTTTGTTGAGAGAGGGTCTCACTCTGTCACCCAGGCTGGAGCGCAGTGGTGCTATCTTGGCTCACTGCAGCCTCCGCTTTCCCAGGCTCAAGTGATTCTCCAGCCTCAGCCTCTCGAGTAACTGGTACTACAGGCATGAGCTACCAACACCCAGCTAATTTTTATATTTTTTTAGAGACAGGGTTTCGCCATGTTGCCCAGGCTGGTCTTGAACTCCTGAGCTCAAAGCAATCCTCCTGCCTCTGCCTCCCTAAGTTCTGGGATTACAGGTGTGAGCCACCACGCCTGGCCCTTGCCATCTTAACAAGGTTAAATCTTCTAGCCTATGAACCTGGAATGTCTATTTATTTACCTCTTTACTTTCTTTTGGCATTGTTTTATAGTTTTCAGTGTACATCATTGTCTTGTTCCTTTTTTTAGGGGAAAATAATTCAGTCTTTATTAAATATGATATTTGTTTAGTTTTTTTTATACATGCCCTTTATTGGGTTGAGAAAGTTTCCTTCTATTCTAGTTTTTTGAGGGTTTTGTAATGAATGAGTGCTAGATTTTGTCAAACACTTTTTCTGTGTCTACTTAGATGATCACGAAGTTTTGTTCTTTATTAATACTATGTATTACATTAATTAAGAATGTTAAACCAGTTTTGCATTCCTGGGATAAAGCCCATTTAGTCATGATGTATACTTTTTTATCATGATGTATATTTTTAATCTGCTGTTGGATTCTATTTGCTAGTTGGGGATTTTGTGTGTACATTCATGAGGGGGATATAAGTTTGTGGTTTTCTTCTTTTGTGATTACTATCTGGTTTTCATAGCAGGGTAGTACTGGCCTCCTAGAGTAAGTTGGAACGTATTCCTCCTCCTCTATTTACTGGAAGAGTTCGTCAAGGATTAGCATTAATTCTTCTTTAGATGTTGATTGAATTCACCAGTGAAACCAAATGGGCCTGGCCTTTTTCTTTACAGGAAAATTTTTAATTATTAATTCAATCTGTTTGTTATAGATCTATTCAGATTTTCTTTTTCTGAGTGAGTCAGTTTTGGTAATCTGTTTTTCTAGGAATTTGTCTATTCTCAGTAATCAAATTTGTTAACATACAGTTCGTAGTATTTTCTTTTGTTTTTTTTTTTTTTTTTTTGAGACAGAGTCTCACTCTTTCACCCAGTCTGGAGTGCAGTGACGTGATCTCTGCTTACTGCAACCTCCGCCTCCAGGGTTCAAGTGATTCTCCTGCCTCAGCCCCCCAAGTAGCTGGGACTACAGGCGCACGCCACCACTCCTAGCTAATTTTTTATTTTGTTTTGTTTTGCTTTTTTTAGTAGAGACAGGGTTTTACCATGTAGACCAGGATGGTCTCGATCTCCTGACCTCGTGATCTGCCTGCCTTGGCCTCCCAAAGTGCTGGGATTACAGGCGTGAGCCACCACGCCCGGCCAGTTCATAGTATTTTCTTGCAGGTTGCTCTTTAGCAATATGTAGTCTCCTGTTTAACCTGTTAACGATTTTTTTTTCTGTCTAATTTGGTTTTATTATTCTTTTACATTTTGCAAGGGCTCTAAATATTGTGAGGGTTTTTTTTTTTAAGAGCTTGCTCTCTTATATTGTGGATGCAATAATTTAAGCCTTATTGAATGTACTAAAATTCGTATTTTTCATTCTCTCATATTTCTTGCATTAACCCTTCCTTCAGGATTTGTTGCTGTGCGTGTTTATCCTGGTGGTATTCGGAGATTGAGAGTTTTCTTATACTGGTTAATCCTCAAGGTTAATTTGTATTAATAACTAAATGTGTAGATCTGTCAATATTGGTCAGTGGTTGGGTGTGCTGAGCTGTTGTGAAAGTGTGGTATGATGTCCTGGAAAAGCTAGCAAGCCAGCCTCAGGACACTCCAGCTCTGGTCCACTTCGACTGTTGTTGACTGGTGTGCGCATCTCCCTCATTGGAAGAAGGAAGGAGCAATGGACCTGGGTGGCTGGGTGCAATTAGCATGTTCATGGGTGTGGCAAGTGCCTCCCAGCCTTGGGTGGTAGGGCCACCTAAAGATAGCTGGCACATTGCCTTGAGTTTTCTTTCATTCTTGCTTGCTTGCTTGCTTTTATTTTTGAGATGGAGTTTCACTCTTGTTGCCCAGGCTGGAGTGCAATGGTGCTTTCTTGGCTCACTGCAACCTCTGCCTCCCGGGTTCAAGCGGTTCTCCTGCCTCAGCCTCCCAAGTAGCTGGGATTACAGGCACCTGCCACCACCTCTGGCTAATTTTTTGTATTTTTAGTAGAGACAGGGTTTCACTGTGTTGGCCAGGCTGATCTCGAACTCCTGACCTCAGGTGATCCACCTACCTTGGCCTCCCAAAGTGATGGGATTACAGGCATGAGCCACCACACCCAGCTGAGTTTTCTTTCAAACACTCAAATACTAACAGGTGCATAAACAGAACAAGTACAAGGCTATGGAAGGTTGCCAAGATGGTGAAAAACTGCATCACACTGATCAACCAAGGCAGATCTGAAGAATCAGATTTTGCTTACAGTGCAGGTTGTGCACTATGTAAATGTTTCCCCCATCCTATTCCCCCCTAGAGTTCTGCAGTGCACAGCCTGTGCAGCTGTCCTGAGCAGTCCTCAGAGGTCCAAGCTTCATATACCTTTCTAGTTGTAAAGCCCTATATCCATTAGGAGTCTTAGTAATCCCACTTGTGGAAATGTTTATCCGTAAAGATGGTTATTTTTCTAATAATGAAAAATGTAAAGCAAACTAAATATTAGAATATAAGGGAATGGTTAAATAACTGTTAAGATTCATCAAAATCATTCTACCATTTGAAGTTTTGTTTATAATTGATGAAATAAGGTGGTAAAATAGTTGTGATCTAAGTTAAGAAAGGTGAATATTAATATGAACATAATTGTGCAAATTATGTTCTTCTGGTATAGAAAAATACCAGAAGAAAATATATCAAATGTGAACAGTGGTCTCTGAGTGGTTGGATTGTATATGATCTTTCCCCATCCTTCTATTTTTTAAGTATACTGTCATGAGCATACGTTATTTTTTAGTGAATAACAACAAAAAATATTTTTTAATATCACTATGGGCTTTCACCTTGCTGTGATACATTTTCAATTTTCCTGGACTAGCTCTTCTTTGATATTTTTTATCTTATTTCTCAAATTAGTTTTTAGTGGGCCAGTTTTGGTGATTTATCAAAGATAAATTAACTACAGAGATAGTTGCAGATAAATCTTATTGAACTTAACTACATGCAGTTCTTCCATGGTACAGACCCCTTGAAACTCTTTTTCTTGCAGCTTGCCAATGCAACGGCCACAGTAAATGCATCAATCAGAGCATCTGTGAGAAGTGTGAGAACCTGACCACAGGCAAGCACTGCGAGACCTGCATATCTGGCTTCTACGGTGATCCCACCAATGGAGGGAAATGTCAGCGTAAGTCAAATTGGTCAGGTTTACTCATGGCAAATCGGTGTGGAACACAGCACTTCTATTTGACTTGAATATCTAGGAGGAAAAAAGCCACTTTGTTTTGGATACCACATTTCTTATTAAATCATACTGGTCAGAAGCTCAGCTGAGCTGGAAGAAAGAACCAAGGTTTCAGTGTAGCTGGTTAAAGCAACAAGCCAAAAATGTTAGAGTCAAGCCTTTGACCACATTCTGCAGTGGTATAAGCAAGGGCCCAAAACCAGAGAAAGTGCCAACTTCCCCTGTTTCCTTTCCTCCCATTGAACAGGGCACAGGTCAATAGTCAGAGGGATCAGCTCAGACATGGGAGTCTTGGGGCTCATCTCACTGAGGCCCGGACAAAAGGTTCCAGCAGTATATGGACACTAAGGTTGTGGGAAGGGCAAGGTGTAAGGGCTAGGACTGGGAAAGTCCTGGGTTGGAGTCAGAGTTAGGAAAGTGTCTTCTGAATTCCCCCTCCTCCCCCCATCAGGAGGCCTTGGTGCCTGAAGAAGACCTCAGCCCAAGGCCTCAGATAGGGAGCCTGGGAATAAAGGCTCCAGGGCTAGGAATGTGAACATGTGAAGGAGCGTGACCCGTGAGGTAGACCTGAGTCCTTAACTGCACCTCTCTCAGAGCCCCACACTTAGGCCCACCTCACAGGTCATGCTCTGCCAGGTAAAGCCTGTGGCATTGCCTGTGGTCAGGCCTGAAAAATCACACACGGGCTTTTTAACCAGGAGCCAGACTCCTCAATACTTATAGTGTATTTTAAAGGTTTAAATAGTCCCGTGTTGGCTGGGTGTAGTGGCTCACGCCTGTAATCCCAGCACTTTGGGAGGCCAAGGCAGGTGGATCACTTGAGGTTAGGAGTTTGAGACCAGCCTGACCAACATGGTGAAACCCCATCTCTACTAAAAATAGAAAAATTAGCTGGGCATGGTGGCGGGGGCCTGTAATCCAAGCCACTCAGGAGGCTGAGGCATGAGAATTGCTTGAACCTGGGAGGCGGAGGTTGCAGTGAGCTAAGATCACGCCACTGCACTCCAGCCTGGGCAACAGAGTGAGACTCAGTCTCAAAAAAAAAAAAAAAGAAAAAAAAAAAAGTCCTGTGTTTCCCCATTTATGTCAAATAGAAGCCTGCAAGCAATAGGACATTTTATTATGAGAACAAAAATTATGACAAGTGATATTAATGAACTGCTTTTTTTATTCTAGTTTCCAGCCAAAAAACATAATGAGTACTATAGTCGAAAGACTTTTCAAAGTTCTGAGCAGGAAAAGTAAACAACATAGGGAAATCTCTACCTACTCCCCAGATCCCAACTCCAAACTCTTTGGCATGGCCCTTCAGAATCTGATCTGATCCAAGACCAGCCAGGAGAGAGGCAGCGTTCTAGCTGTGTGTCCCTTACTCTCCCTGGGGTTCAGTTTCCTCCTAATAATAGGGTGGTTGTTAAGATGAAAGCAGAGCAGCACATGACACATGTTCCACAGGATACTAGTCAATACTTAGTAGATGTGGGCAATTCTTATTACCCTTCTAATGCCATTCTCCACTACTCCTAAGTAAAAGTTCTTGCTCAGATTAAAAGGTATTTGGTGAAAATGTTTTCCCCACTCTTTGTGAATAGACTTAATCCGTTAGACAGTAACCAGAGTACCTAACAGAGTGGTGGAGTGTACAAGGCATTGTGCTGTTACCCACTCAAGACACAGGTGCTTTTATTATCCCCAAGATCAAGTAAACTGCCCAGGGTCTCACAGTGAGATGTGGCCAAGCTAAGAACCACGCCCAGTCTGTGCTGACCTTAATTACTTGGCTGGTTGTGCTTCCAGATGCCATCATACCCACATCAGCAGCTGCTATCTAGAAGCATCACATTTTCCTCTGTGAGATCTACAGGGCCTGAGTACAATTTGCCTTATTTTTCAGAGTCCTAATCCACGGTAGAAAGCGTGGTGTTTATAGAATACTGCAGATGGCACCAAGTCTTTGATGTTTTCTTCTTAAAATTGTATAGTCCTTAGGTAACGATAGTAGCCATGATTTCTTGAATGCTTACTGTGTTTGAGACATCATATACATATCATCACAAACACCCCTATGAGATAGGTACTGTTGTTATCCCCATCATATGGACAAGGAAGCTGAAACTCAGAAAGGTTAAGTAGCATTCCCAGAGTGACAGAAGAGCCAAGTAGAGGACGCTGAATTCAAACCCAGGCAGATGGACGTAAGGCCTTTGCTTTTCACTATACATTACACACCTTCCCCCAGTCTCAACAGAGCCAAGTGTCAGACACTCATGATTCTGACTTCAGCATCCATTCTGTTAATCTCTGCACTATTCTGTTTTATAGTTTTCTTTGGGTGATTCCAAAGGATTTATTTTTAAAGCATACCTCTCTCCAGCTGAATGCCTTTCATTTATTCACCAGCAAAACAGGGTATAAAGTGAAAAGGTGTTGACCAAAAAGGCTTTCACTTTTTTCAACTGGAGTATAATATTTATCACGGCTTGTATTACGTTGGATGATAAAAGGAGAGATGTTGAGTTGGCCAGATGAGGGAGATGGGAAGAGCTATTTTCTGTAAAGGCAAAGGAAAAGGTGAAGCAAGGGTGGCATGTCCTGAGGGCCCCTAAAGCGCTGACCTTGGCATTGGATCCTGGTTCTGAGCCCTGCGGTGATTCCAAATGTGACCATCGTGGAGAAGGCACCTCAGCCAAGACCAGCCCTCCTTCAGAGGACAGTCACCTCCAGAGCACCTCCCTAGGGGCAGCAGCTATGTCTGTGTCCCCACACCCAGCACCTGGCATTCTAGAGATGCTTCACAAATATTTATTGAATGAATCAAAGAATCATAGCAGTGAAAAAGAGAGTCTATTGAAAAGATCAAAATAGTCATTGCTTCAGAAGGCAGTGGGTACCAGCATTCACTTTCCTCCTGTCCTTTGTTTGGTTCCTTTAATGTTACCTATACATTATTATCATTAGCTGAAAAATCATGAATCTTACCCATTGAATGCTCGTACTTTAATCTGTCTTTCCTACTGAACTCAATTCAGATAAAATTGCTTGTTTTGGAAAAAGTCTCCAATAGTCAGAATTTTTTAAGCCAGTTGTGACCTCTGTTCCTTTTTCTTCTCTGCAGCATGCAAGTGCAATGGGCACGCGTCTCTGTGCAACACCAACACGGGCAAGTGCTTCTGCACCACCAAGGGCGTCAAGGGGGACGAGTGCCAGCTGTGAGTACCATACTCCCTGGACCACCAGGGAGGACCAAGAGGCTGTGCAGCTGCCTGAACCCCACCCTGAGAGCCACCCACTTCCCTGTGTCTTGTTGCTGTGGGCTCTGAGGGATCCCTGGGTTGATTAGTTTGAAATTTTGCCCATTCTATTTCAGACAGGTCAGTCCCCAAAATGAGGAGGTCGTCGAGTTAGCAGCAATTCCTTAATGGCTCTTGAATTCACATTTTTGTTTAAATGATACTGACATTTCCTGGGTTGTCCATTTGGAGTAGTCATTTTAACTTCAGCAACTACTTGATTTTTGTCATGTCAAGAGATTATACTCTTTCCCAAAGAGTAGAGATGGAAGAGCTGGTGTTTTGGTGATGGCATTTATTTGGCGTTTGGTTGTCTGATTGTGGAAATGATCCTCTTACCTTTAACATTTCCCATTACTCTAGCATTTTCCTTGTTGAAGCATGTCAGGCATCTTCCTGGAGAGGGTTTGAAGTCCCCATCCATGAGGATGCAGGTGCAGCAGCATCAGGCATGTTTAAGGTTTCAGACCTGGCCCTGCCTCCACTGAGCAAGGTGCTCTTGAGGCAAATCACTGTTCCCCCCATCTGTCAGTAGTGGGACTAGCAGTAATTGTTTTTGGTGTCCTGGTAGGTTGAAACAGGAAGGATAGTTCCTCAATCAATGTATACCGGGCTGTCTCACTGGGAAACCTCATAAAATGCATGTATCCGCATTTACTCATTCTCAAGAAAAAACTTAAAAAGTGTTTAGTGTCAAAACACTGAGCTGATTAATCATTGTAAACATCATTATTTCTTAAATAACAGTAGTAATAATGCCACCAGTGATTGAGACATCATTGCTGGTGCTACTCAGCAGGGTTTGGTCTGTCTACTTTTTAGTTTATATCTGCATATATGTTTACTAGCTTCATGTTGCCCTAAAGCCAATATGTGAAGAAAAGTCTAATCCAAGGTTAAATTTAACTTTTAGGTCCACATTCCCTTAAACAGAAAAATGTCATCGAGCAAAATTAATCACTCTTACCCTCAGTTAGCTGATGCAACAAAGACATGAGGTGGCATCAAGTAAGACTTTCAAGTTCCTTCGAGATCGCAGATGTAGGCAGGTGCTGCTCATCACCCTGGCTAAAGGGACACAGCATACCTGCCTGGGAAAGGCCATTACCCACTTCCCGCCCTTTCCTCTTCATGCATAGCTGTTGTGTTTACCTAAATGCTTCATGAAGTGGGAGGCTGGGTTTTGCTGATGTTTATAGATGATCTGTATGGGGAAATTGTTTTCTGAGTAGAACATATTTTTTTTCTACAGACTGGTGAACACTTGTTCCAGGGTTTAAAAAAACAGTGATTCTTGGTATTTAGTCTTCTCTCACTTGTGTTTAAAGAAGAGAATTAGTTTATCCAGGGAACATAGGAAAGAAGTGAGAAATTAGTATTTGAAAAATGTTTTGACTGCACTTTTAGAAGAATATGTAGTCCACACAAAATTGAAAATGTTTTTCATTATAGTAAATAGGTTTATTACATTTGGATTTCTCTCATTGCTTTGGCAAATGCTTGTCAATTGTCCTCATATAGTTGGTGTGTGAACTGCTGAGCAGTCAGTATTGAAGCGTTCATGCATGCTCTTCCTAGACTGCCTGAGCTGAGTTATGGTGAAGGATGCAATTATAATGGCTCCAGACTATCTGTACTTTATATAAAAGGATCTGTTTGGTTTTAAAATGAATTCAGTTTCTGTTTTAAATAGCAGTATAAAATAGTCTTTTTTCCCCCCCAGATGTGAGGTAGAAAATCGATACCAAGGAAACCCTCTCAGAGGAACATGTTATTGTAAGTGGTTTTGCAATTCTTATTTCTAGAAGCAAAGTAGTTCAGTAAAACTTCATTGTTTAAACGGGTTTGAGAATAGTAAGTGCTATAAGACTATAGCAGCCACCAATGAAGTGTTCCCAGACTTGATATGTTTACATTCTGTTAAGTTTACTACATATAGGAGCACTGTTTTAAGCTGTTTTAATTGTGTTTGGGGTTAACGTTAATGTGTCCATAGCAGATAGCAGGAGAGAGTAGAGAGGCATGCATCTTTGTCTATCCACATTTATGTTCTCTTAAAACTTTACTTTATTTGCCATTACCTAGTTGGGGTCATCATATTTCGTGTTTTAGGATGTAGATCAAAAACAGAATTCTTACAATATGGTTGAACTTTTTGTCATTCTGTCTGGAACTGATTTGTGTTAACCACCTTGAGGTGAAAGGTGAGTCTGACAAGGTGACCATGTTTTTATGGGTAAATGTGTTTTCTCTTTATGGGAGAATCCACATGGTAGACCAGAGTACGGGACCAGAAAAAAGGAGTTAATGTTATGGCATATCCATTGTAATTATATACCTGCTGTACTGGGTTGAATAACATCCCTTCAAAATTCATGTCCACTTGGAACCTGTGAATATGACTTCATATATATATATATAAAACTTCTAAAAGAAAACAAGAGAAAAACATCTTGACCTTGGGTGGGGAAAAGTTGTTAGATAGGATTCTAAAAGCATAATTCATAAATAAAAAGTAGACTAATGAAACTATATAAAAATTTAAAACTTGTAGGAAAAAACCATCCAAAACATAAAAAGCCACAGACTAGAGAAAATACTCGCACATCATCATATATTTGATAAGGAGTTTATATCCAGAATACATGAGGAACTCTTACAACTGAATAAGATGACAATTCCAGTTAAAAACAGGCAAAGATTTGAAAAGACATTTCATGAAAGAAGATATTACAGTGGCCAATAAGCACATTAAAAACGACTTAACATCATTCGTTATTTGGAATGGAGATTTTAAAACCACAGTCAGATACAGCCCTAAAGTGATTAGAATCCAACGCTAATGCCATGGCTTTTTAGAAGACAGTGGTAATCTCATGTCTGCTTCTGCATTCAGTCTGTTGCAGTACATCTTTTTGGTTAAACACATGAAAAAAACCTGGCCTTACCAGGCATGCAGTTGGAAAAGGGTATAGTGATACCCTTTTAATAGCCTTTTCAGATAATTATGGACGTTACTTGATATTATGCTGAAACTGGACAACTGGTCATTTCTTTAAAGCGGTTTGATGGGTTAACCCAAATAAAATGATACTGCCCACAGACTTGATTTTCTTTGAGGAACCTGGGTACAGCTGAGTTAAAGTGCTTTCCTCGTTACTTAATTTATAAGAAAAGCAGCCTGTATCTCTAAAGACCTGTTCTATTTTGTGTGTGTTTAGTTTTTAAATATGCATTTCTTTCTTTCCATAGATACTCTTCTTATTGACTATCAGTTCACCTTTAGTCTATCCCAGGAAGATGATCGCTATTACACAGCTATCAATTTTGTGGCTACTCCTGACGAAGTAAGATTTTTTAAAGTCTTCCTATTTTGTTTTGAATTTGTATGGATCTTTTTCTTGGTCATTACGGATGGACGTACTGCCTTAACAGTGCTCTCCAGACTGGAGTACACGAGATGATCTCTAGAGGTATAGGAAAGAAATGTTAGACTCTACGTTATCTCCTTTCCACATAAAAGGCAAAAGTGATGTTAATAAGATTTACCAGGATCTTAGACACAGACTGACATTGATTCCACGCATACTTACTCTGCCTGTCAGCCCATCATGGCCTCATACAGAAAGGGGACTCCACCATCAGAGGGCAGATAGCAGAGCCTGGGTTTACTCTCTCAAGAGTGACCAGAGGCTTAAAGACACTGCTGATTGAAATGCCAGTGATGCAGCCCCAATCAGACAGCAAGGGAGGGGACCCCAATCAGACAGCAAGGGAGGGGACCCCAATCAGACAGCAAGGGAGGGGACACTCTGCTCCTAGAGTGAGTTCTTAGCCTCATTAGGAGGCAAAACAGCAAAGGCTTAGTCGGGTCCATTAAGAAGTTAGCCAGGAATAATTTAAATTGTTAAAATATGTATGTAAAATGTGGATTTTTTTATCTGCTGTCATTAACGATGAAGCCCAACCTGCCTTAAGGTATTACCTAGTGGTAGAAGGAAGGCCACACTGCGGGACATTTAAAACTGAAACATACAGAACACGAAGATGCACCTGTACAGTTTCTTCAATGAAATATAAAGTCATGCAGTACCCACTTCAGTATTTAAAGAAATTTTGCTAAACATAATGGTAAATTATTTAGGAACTTCCTTGGAGATTTCTTACTTCTCATGAACATACACAAAGCCATTTACCATTACAAAATTCCATTAACAATAAATGTGACAAATAATACATGGAAAACAATATGGCAGTAAGACAAAGTATATTGCTTTGTTAACAAATGTTATCTATAAACATTGCTAAATTTAATTTTAAAAGTAGAACAAAGTCTATAGTGTGGTATGTTTACTATACAAGTAAATGAAAATAGGATTTGTTTTTAATATTCTATTTCAAAGATAAAATTAAGAAAAAATGTACTAGAAAAGATACATTCTCAAAAGTAAATTGCTTTTTAAGTAAAAATAATAAATTACTTTAAATGAATTATTTTATGGAAAAACTATAGGTATTAATATATCATTTGAGTGGCTGTATTGACTGGAATTTTTTTCTTAACGATTTTAGAATAAGATTTTAACAAAAGTACCATATATGAAATGTATTCACTGCCTCATAAGCAAGCGTTTGAAGTGCTCAAAATCTTTCAGGATATACTTCATGCCATTAATGTCATTAAAAAAATAAATATAGTAGAATCTTTGTAATACTTCTTAACCAGGTGGGAAGCAACCATGAAAGTATTTGGACCTTTCTGGATTTCCCAGTTTATCTTACGACAGAATACTTACTAGAGTTATCCAAATGCATATGTTCTGTCCTCTATAAAACCACAAGCATTTTAAGTTTATTGATTCTTTCTGTGGAAAGACATATAGTTGACCCTTGAGCAATACAGGTTAAAACTGTGAGGATCCACTTACACGTAGACTTTTTTCAACCAAGCGTGGAATGAAAATACAGTATTTGCAAGATGTGAAACCTGAGTATACAGAGGGTGGACTTTTCATATGCAAGGGTTCTATGGGCAGACTGCGGACTGGAGTATGTGTGGATTTGGGCATGCTCAGGGGGTCCTGGAACCGATGACCCACGTATACCAAAGGATGACTGTAATTGTTAGTTGTGTGCTGCCAGCAAATACTAAATACAAATAAGTAAACACTTGAGCTGTCCTTTCAAGATGAAGGTGAGGTCTTATCAGTAAATGAGAAGGTAAATGCTTTGTGAGAGAAACTTCTGGTTTAATGATCACATTTTAAAAATAGCTGTTTGGAAATGTTTCCATTGTTGTGATTTTGTGCTATTAAAATGATCAAAACAACACCCTTAAAAATCTTATTCTAACCTCTCAAGATCTTTTAAAAATGAATAATTTCAGTACAGTCGGATGCATCTGTAAAAGATAAAAATATAACATTGATTAGTTTGCAAAAATAATTGTTTGACCCCAGTTAAGAGATGTACTAGTCAAATTTCAGTTTGACTAATTATTAATGTTATAATTTACCTAACATCACCAACAGTACACTTCCTCCACTGGCTTAACAGATTCCTCAGCAATATCTTTATTAGTCATTAAGACCAAGGATCAAAATAAATTAAGTTAGATTAGCCCTGTGAACTGCTATATCTCTAAGTGGTAGACAAGGTTTTCAAAACTAAGAAGCCATACTCAATCATATTTCTCTTGAAATAATATTTTTAGTAAGAGAAAAATATTTTTCAAATCATGAATATAATAAAATTATTTTTTAAATTAAGTACATTTCAGCTCTATATGCCTTTTTTAAAGGCTGTTTCCAGTTTTGGAGAAGTTTTACACTGTATATAATCTATGAGTTTAGAATTATATGGGTTTCAGTTATAAATAAATATAATTTTGGGCACTTGATCAAGTGTTTTATTGGTAGGAGTGAACTTCAGACATTTGAAAACAGCTGCCCAGAGAATCCTTAGGAGGGTGATTCCCCAGCACAGGTCAGGAGATGCAAATCACTGTGCTCTGATAGGGGTCTTTTTAAAAGGCACTTTCTCATGCAGTTAGGCATTTGATAAAGCATTAAATTATGTATACTTTAATGGGAGGGAATAAAATTTTATTGGCATATATTGCTTGTATTAAGGAAAATTGGTTAGAAATTTTGCTAACTCTTCTGTGAGTTTCTCTAAAGACATCATAAAATGTTTGTGATTAAGAACATTTAGAGGAGTAAACTTTATTGCTTTATTTTAAAATCTAGAAATTGTTTTAATTAATTTTCTAATAATTTGTACCGCTCATCAGCAAAACAGGGATTTGGACATGTTCATCAATGCCTCCAAGAATTTCAACCTCAACATCACCTGGGCTGCCAGTTTCTCAGGTAAAGACATACCTAGAGAAGACCCCGCAAATGAAGGTGTGGTAGATTAAGAAATGTAATATAGGAATTGAGAAAGCGAGCTCAGGAGACAGATTGGTTTGAAACCCACCCTTGCCACTTACTAGCTATGAGACCTTGAGCAAGTATCTAAATCCCTCTCTAAACCTTAGCATTATTTTATTCATCTGTAAAGTGAGGATAATGATACTTACCTCTTAGAATTGTTGTATAGATTAAATTAGGTTATACCTACCAGAGCTTGCTGTGGTGTCAGGCTCAGTGTGTGGTTACTACCCTAGCCCACCACCACCATTTCTGTTCTTGCTGTGGCCACTGGCACTACCATCATTGTCTACATTCGTGCTTCGGAAGTGAAAAATTCAAATGATTCGTTTCAATAAATGAAAACATTTTAAATAAAATGAGATTTTAGTAGGTACAGAGAAATGTAACTTGGGAATTACATCAAGCTCTAAAAGCACAGCTCTTGCTGTCTGCCTTACTGTGATTCACTGAAGATCTACTGTATAGAAAATCTAAAGAAATAAAGGATGAAGGCCAAGTGCTGTGGCTCATGCCTTTAATCTCAACACTTTGGGAGACTGAGGCAGGAGGATTGCTTGAGCTCAGGAGTTTAAGACCAGCCTGGGCAACATAGTGAGACCCTGTCTACAAAAAAAAAAAAAAAAAAAACCCAGGTGTAGTGACTCATACCTGTAATGCCAACTACTCAGGAGGCTGAGATGAGAGGATCACTTGAGCCCAGGGGTTGGAGATTGCACTGAGCCATGATCGCACCATTGTACTCCAGTGTGGGCAAACAGAGCAAGATCCCATCTCTTTAAAAAAAAAAAAAAAAAAAGAAAAAAGGATAATCACTACTTAACTTGATAACTCAACAAGTAGATATGGGTTTGAAATTTGTCCATTAAATTTACTTGCACCGTGCTGTTAGGCAAGTTACTTAAGGTTTCTGAGCCAGTTTCCTCCTGTATAAAGTAGGATAGTAAAAACACCGTCCTGGCAGGGCGTGATAGCTCATGCCTGTAATCCCAGCACTGTGGGAAGCCAAGGTGGGAAGATCACCTGAGGTCAAGAGTTTTGAGACCAGCCTGGCCAACATGGTGAAACCCTGTCTCTACTAAAAATACAAAAATCAGCCAGGCGTGGAGGCACGTGCCTGTAATCCCAGCTACTCAGGAGGCTGAGGTAGGAGAATCGCTTGAACCTTGGAGGTAGAGGTTGCTGTGAGCCGAGATCACGCCACTGCACTCCAGCTTGGGTGACAGAGTGAAACTCCATCTCAAAAAAAAAAAATAAAAAAACACCTTCCCAAGTAGAGTGATGTGAGAATTAAATGAGATAATAAATGAAGTACTCAATATAGTGCTTGAAATGTGGTAAATGGTAACTATATTTTATCATTATTACTATTACAATACTGGGTTTTTTAAAATCAAAAACACAAAGCAATGAGATTGATGCAAAATAAGAATATTGCCTTGTACACGCCACTTACGTTTATCATCTTAAAACATTGTGTAGAATTTGAGAAAAGTTCAGAAACTCTCAATGAGGAGGGACTTTTAAGAAAAAGTCTGAATTATCAGAGTATTTGGAGAAAGGCAACATCTCCAGGCATGTGAAAGATTTGCAATGAGCCGGGCGGTGGCTCATGCCTGTAATCCTAGCACTTTGGGAGGCTGGGGCAGGTGGATTACCTGAGGTCAGGAGTTCAAGACCAGCCTGACCAACATGGTGAAATCCCGTCCCTACTAAAAATACAAAACTAGCTGGGTGTGGTGGGGCGTGCCTGTAATCCCAGCTACTTGGGAGGCTGAGGCAGGAGAATTGCTTGAACCTGGGAGGCGGAGGTTGCAGTGACCCAAGATTGCATCATTGCACTCCAGCCTGGGCAACAAAAGCGAAATTCCATCTCAAAAAAAAAAAAAAAAAAAAAAAAAAAAAAAAGATTTGCCATGAGTGTCTCAATGAAGACGTGATAATGTGGGCTCTAGTCACAGGGTCTAACTCAGACATGGAAAAAAGTCCATTTCATTAATCTTTATCGGCACTTGAATTCCTGGCTAAGGGAGAATGTGGAACATTGAAGGACTCTCTGGGAATAGGATGGAGTTATACCAGATTAGGGGGACTTAAATACTGTGGTAGCTGGTGGTAGAAGGGAGGACTGAGTGACCCCTTGAACCCCTCCTCCCTGCTACAGTGGGTTAGGCAGTGAGCGGTACATCAGCATTACTGGCATGGGAGTCTGGCGCATTGCCAAGGAGGTGTAAAGGGGAAATGCAAAGGAATTGAAGTGGTGTGGGCAAAGTGAATGCCAGTGCTTGTTAATAGGATTCTAGTGGTATCTGTATTTTCATGATCATGTGTGTCACCTGTTTGGGGGTGGGGCAAGGGTGGAAGGGAGTTACATGGATTCCTGGTAAAACCATTTTTCTTTCTTTCTTTTTTTTTTTTTGAGACGGAATTTCGCTCTTATTGCCTAGGCTGGAGTGCAATGGCGCAATCTTGGCTCACTGCAACCTCTGCCTCCCAGGTTCAAGCGATTCTCCTGCCTCAGCCTGCTGAGTAGCTGGGATTACAGGCATGCGCCACCACGCCTGGCTAATTTTGTATTTTTAGTAGAGACGGGGTTTCTCCATGTTTGTCAGGCTGGTCTCAAACTCCGACCTCAGGTGATCCACCCGCCTCGGTCTCCCAAAGTGCTGGGATTACAGATGTGAGCCACCGCACCCGGCCAGTAAAACCATTTTGGTTAGGGGCATAGGCTTGTATATCAGCCTGCCCAGCTTTAAATCTTATCTCCATTTCTTGTTGGCTGTGTGACTTGAGGGAAGTTACTTAATTTCTGTGAACCTCAATTTCCCAGTCTATAAATGAAGATAATAATAGGGCAGCTGTGAGGATTAAATGAGATTGAGCTCTTAAAGGCTATTACTGGAACACAGGAAATGTTTGATAAATGCTATTGTCCTTATTATTAATGAGGCCAGATTCTGTTCTCCCCCTAGCCCCCCAAAAAATGTCTCTTCTCTTTCATGTTTTTCTTTTAACAGCTGGAACCCAGGCTGGAGAAGAGATGCCTGTTGTTTCAAAAACCAACATTAAGGAGTACAAAGATAGTTTCTCTAATGAGAAGTTTGATTTTCGCAACCACCCAAATATCACTTTCTTTGTTTATGTCAGTAATTTCACCTGGCCCATCAAAATTCAGGTAAGAAGAGGCTTTTGGTCTCATACCTGCAAAGGTGGTGAAATCTCTTTAGTAAGACTAAATTTACTAATTTGGAGCTTGTGGTAAATGAGATGTGCAATGTGGCTTTGCCTTTGTAACGTGTATGGCAGAGGAGTGCTGAGCACATGCATGCTGCACAGAAGATTGGAGTGGGGATGGACTGTATCACTCATGAAAGACATTTGCAAAAGCACTGTTGAAAGCAAGTTGGCATGTAACAGATTTGGTCATTATAAACGTATTCACTTCTTCAGTGAGCATTTGCCATGTGAAAGCCTGTAGGGCTACACAAAGAACTTCAATTCTAGAGTAAGGTGGATGTAAGTGAAACAAACCCACATATAACAACTGAAAGCCAGAGTGTGGAAAGTGACATGAGATGATCCCAGAAATGCTATCAAAGTTTAAAGGAGGACAAATGGGGAGACTATGTTGAAGAACATCAGCCTTCTAGTCAGACAGAGGTGGATTGATTCCTGGCTCCTATACAAATCATACAGCCTTTCCAAGTCTCCAGTTCTCTGTGCATGTGACCTGAAGGGTAGTTGTAAGGGGCTGTGCAGCTGCTGCAGTGTCTTGTTAGCCTGCTCCTTTCCTCTGTTCCCAGGGGGCCAGTGTACTCCCTCTTGTCCGAGACCCATGGCCCCATTTTAACTTTTTATACTCATGTCACCTGGGGCCTTTCCTCAATACCTTCTGCTTCTTACCTTCTTCATTTAGGTGAATGTGGAGGTTAGGGATAGGTGGGCTTTCAAGGACTGGTTCACCTTTAACCATGGAAGCATGGTCACTGGACGGAGGCTGTTGCTGTTTGCCAATGTTCAGAAGCATAATCAACCTCAGAAGCAAGTCACCACAAACATATGAAAAAAGTTCAACATCACTGATCATTAGAGAAATGCAAATCAGAACCACAGTGAGATACCATCTCACACCAGTCAGAATGTCTGTTATTAAAAAGTCAAAAAAGAACAGATGCTGGCAAGGCTGTGGAGAAACAGGAACGCTTTTACACTGTTGGTGGGAGTGTAAATTAGTTCAACCATTGTGGAAGACAGTCTGGCAATTCCTCAAAGACCTAGAGGCAGAAATACCATTTGACCCAGCCATCCCATTACTGGGTGTATATCCAAAAGAATATAAATCATTCTGTAACAAAGATACATGCACATGTATGTTCATTGCAGCACTATTCACAGTAGCAAAGACATAGAATCAACCTAAATGCCCATCAGTGATAGACTGGATAAAGAAAATGTGGTACATATACACCATGGAATACTATGCAGCCATAAAAAGGAATGAGATCATGTCCTTTGCAGGGACATGGATGGAGCTGGAGGCCATTATCCTCAGCAAACTAATGCAGGAACGGAAAACCAGGTACCACATGTTCTCACTCGTAAGTGGGAGCCGAGAACACATGGACACATGGTGGGGAACAACACACACTGGGGCCTATTGGAGAGTGATGGGGAGGAAGGAGAGCATCAGGAAGAATAGCTAGTGGATGCTGGGCTTAATACCTAGGTGATGAGATGATGTGTGTAGCAAACCACTGTGGCACACGTTTACCTATGTAACAAACCTATACATCCTGCACATGTACCCCTGAACTTAAAAATTAACAATAACAAAAAAAGCAAGTTATCACTCATCAATTAGGATGCCTTGGGACTGTGACTAAAGAACAGTTGATCTTTCCATTCTGGAAATATGGAGGACAAAAACTATGTTGTAGTTTTTCTCACCACCCTCTCTCCTTTTTCCTGTCTCCATGGTCTAAGATTTGTTAATCCTCTCATCAGCTTCTCCCTTTGCCCTCGCATACTCCCTGTGTCCCTCCTCAGCCAGTCTTGTAAGCATCAGCCACGCTTCTTATTCCTGTTTTCTCTTGTCTAGTCACACATCTGCTCACAATGGTCTGGCCTCTTCCCTCACCACATCCTGAAACTGTCCTGTCATAGTGGGCCCCAGTGATGGAATTTTTCAGTCCCCTTTTTATCTCATTGCATGGCTTTGAATCATCATCTTTCTTGTCTTCCTGGATTTTTCTTTTCCTCGTTTTCTGGCCAGTCTTTTTAGGGAATCCTCTTCCTCTTCCTTAAACACTGGGCTTGTCTAGGATTCAGACCTGGTCCTTTTCTCTCTTCACTGTTTCCTGCATGTGGGACTTGTGGTGCCACATCTATTCTGGTGATTCTCAGTGCTGTCTCCAGACCGGCACTGGCAGTTGCTGCCTGGACAGCCCTACCTGGGTAGTCAAAGCTCCCTGCGTTCGGTGCATATTCCTTCTTGTGATCTTAGCCCCAGACTTCCATGCTTCCTTTCTCTGTAAACAGCACCACCATCACCCTGTTGTACAAGCTAGGGCCTGATGATCATTTGCATTCCTGGGATAAACCCAACTTGAGCATGACGTATTATTTCCTTACTTTACACGTTGTTGGATTCAGTTTGCTAATATTTTGGTTAGAATTTTGTATCTATTTCATGAGTAAGAATGTCTGATAATTTTCCCTTCCTGTCCTTGTTATGGTTTTGATATCATGTTAAACTAACTTTTAATAATTATAATTTGAGGAGTTTTCACTCTTTCTCATCTCTGGAGATGTAAGATTAGAGTTAACTGAACCTCAAGTACTTGGTAGCTCTCTCCTGTAAAATCATTTGATCCTAGTGTCTTATTTGTGGAGATACTTTTTAGCTGCTGATTCAGCTTCTTTAATAGTTATAGGATATTTTGAATTTCCTCTTTATTTGATTCCCTTTTTAATATTTTTTCTAGGTTTTTATATCATGTTTTTAAATGTATTTTTAATTTTACTTTTTAAATTGATACATAATTGTACGTATTTATGAGGTACATGAGATATTTTGATACATGCATACAATGTATAATGATCAAATAAGAGTAATTAGGATATCCATCACCTCAAACATTTATCATTTCTTTGTGTTGAGTACATTTCACATCTTCTAGCTATTTTGAAATAATGAATAAGTTATTGCTAACTATAGTCATAATGACTATTGTGCCATTGAACACTAGAACTTATTCCTTGTAACTCTATTTTTATACCCATTAACCTCTATCTCCCCAGCCCCCCAGCAGCTGGTAACCACCATTCTGCACTCTACCTCCATGAGATCAGTTTTTTTAGCTCCCACATCTGAGTGAGAAAACATATCTATCTTTCTGTGCCTGGCTTGTTTCACTTAACATAATGACCTCCAGTTCCATTCATGTTGCTGCAAAGGACAGGATTCCATTCTTTTTGTGACTGAATAATATTTCATTGTATAATATATACAACATTTTATTTGTCCATTCATTTGTTGATGGACACGTAGGTTGATTCCATGTCTTCACTCTTGTGAATAGTGCTGTGATAAACATTTAGAGCATGCAGTATCTCTCCAGTATACTGATTTTCTTTCTTTTGGATATATACCCAGCAGCGGGATTGCTGGATCATGTGGTGGATCTATTATGAGCAGTCTTCATACTGTCTTCCATAGTGGCTGTACTAAATAATTTACATTCCCACCAGCAGTGAACTAGTATCGTCTTTCTCTGTATCCTCGCCAGCATCTGTTATTTTGTCTTTTTAATAATAGCCATTTTAACTGGGATGAGATGATTTCTCATTATGGTTTTGATTTGCATTTGCCTGATGGTTACTGATGTTGAGATTTTTTTCATATGCCTGTTGGCCATTTGTATGTCTTCTTTGGACAAATCTCTATTCAGATCATTTGCCCATTTTTAAATCAAGTTTTTTTCCTATTGAGTTGTTTGAATTGCTGGTATATTCTGGTTATAAATCCCTTGTTGGATGGATAGTTTGAACATATTTTCTCTCATTCTATAAGCTGTCTCTTCACTCTCTTGTTTCCTTTGCTTTGTAGAGCTTTTTGGCTTGATATAATCCCATTTGTCGATTTTTGCTTTTGTTGCCTGTGATTTCGACATCTTACACAAAACATCTTTGCCCAGACCAATGTCCTGAAGGATTTTCCCAATATTTTCTTCTAGTAGTTTTATGGTTTTAGGTCTTATACTTAAGCCTTTAATCCATTTAAATTTGATTTTTGTATGTGGTGAGAGAGAGGGGCCTAGTGTTATTTTTCTGCACGTGGATATCCAGTTTTCCCAGCACCATTTATTGAAGAACCTGTCCTTTCCCTCACTGAATATTCTTGACTCCATTATTGAAAACCAGTTGGCCGTGAATATGTGGATTTATTTCTGAGTTCTTTATTTTGTTCCACTGGTCCGTGTATCTGTTTTTATGCTGGTATCATGCTGTTGTGGGTACTATAGCTTTGTAGCATATTTTGAAGTAAGGTGATATGATGCCTCCAGTTTTGTTCTTTTTGCTCAGAAATGCTTTGGTTGGCTGAGTACAGCAGCTCGTGCCTATAATCCCAGCACTTTGGGAGGCCGAGGCTGGTGGATCACCTGAGGTCAGGAGTTCGAGACCAGCCTGGCCAACATGGCAAAACCCTGTCTCTAATAAAAATACAAAAATTAGCCATGTGCAGTGGTGGGTGCCTGTAATCCCAGCTACTTGGGAGGCTGGGGCAGGAGAATCTCTTGAACCCGGGAGGAGGAGGCTGCAGTGAGCCAAGATTACGCCACTACATTCTACCCTGGGCAAACAAAGCGAGACTCTGTCTCAAAAAAAAAAAGAAAAAAAAAAAAAGAAATGCTTTGGCTATTTGAGGTCTTCTGTGGTTCCATACAAATTTTAGGATTGTTTTTTCTATTTCTGTGAAGAATGTCATTGGTGTAGAGATTACATTGAATCTGTAGGTAGCTTTTGGTAGTATGGTTTTTTTCACAATATTAATTATTTCAGTCCACAAATGTGGTGTCTCTTTCAATTTTTTTGTGACCTCTTCAATTTCTTACATCAGTGTTTTATAGTTTTCCTTGTAAAGAGGGCTTTCACCTCCTTGGTTAGATTTATTCCTACGGTTGTTTTTGGAAGTTTTAAAAAAATCTATCGAGAATGGGATTGCTTTCTTGATTTCTTCTTTTGCTAGTTCGTTGCTCCTATATAGAAATGATTCTGATTTTTGTGTGTTGATTTTGTATCCTGCAACTTTACTGAGTTTGTCAGTTCTTAGTTTGGTGGAGCTTTTAGGGTTTTCTGTATATAAGATTATATCAACTGCAAATAGGGACACTTTGACTTCCTCCTTTCAGTTTGGATGCCCTTTATTTCTTTCTTTTGCCTAGTTGCTCTGGTCAAATATGTTGATAACTTGTTGATGCTGTCCTCTAATGCTCGCAGCGTCTGTGTTCATGAAACCCTTTGTTGTATTCCAATGTTGATAGCATTATTCACAGTAATCAAAATGTGGAAACAACCCAAATATCTATCAGTGGATGAATGGATAAACAAAATGTGGTATGTATGTATGTGTGTGTGTGTGTGTGTGTGTGTGTGTGTGTGTGTATAAAATAAAATGTTATTCAGCATTAAAAAGGAATGAAATTCTGATACATGCGACAACACAAGTGAACCTTGAAAACATGCTAAGTGAAATAAGCTAGTTGCAAGAGGACAAATATTGAATGATTCCACTTAACATGAAATATCTAGAGTAGTACACAGATTCTTAGAGACAGAAAGTGGATTGGAGGTTACCAGCAGCTAGGGGGAGCGGGAAATAGGGAATTACTGCTTCATGGTTATTAAAGAGTTTCCCTTTGGGGTGATGAAAAAGCTTTGGAAGTAGGTAGTGATATTGGTTGCACAAAATTGTGAATGTAATTATTGCCACTGATTTGTACACTTAAAAATGGTTAAAGTGATTTTATGTTATATCTTACTACAATAAAAAAAGTCTTTAAAAATCACAGCAAGATGTTTTTGTAGATATAGACAAGCTTATTCTGAAATTTATATGAAAGGGCAAAAGTTCTAGAATAGCTATAACAATTTAGAAAAAGAAGAATAAAATGGGAAGAAT
The DNA here is from genome assembly GCF_000001405.40 of Homo sapiens. NCBI lineage: Eukaryota > Metazoa > Chordata > Mammalia > Primates > Hominidae > Homo > Homo sapiens. The sequence continues at coordinate 3,610,269 of NC_000020.11, forward strand.
CAACCTACCCAATGTTAAGGCTTACTATTTAGGTACAGTAATCAAGACATTGTTTCAGGTAGAGGGGTAGACACACAGATCAATGGGATAGGCTGATCTATAGGTAGATCCCAGAAATAGAACCACATAAATATGTCCAACTGATTAGGATTTGATTTTGTTTGTGGTGTTTTTTTGAGACAGGGTCTCACTATGATGTCCAGGCTGGTCTTGACTCCTGGGCTCAAGTAACCCTCTCACCTCAGCCTCCTGAATAACTGGGATTACAGGTGCACACCGCCACGCTAGTTCCAGCTGAATTTTTTTTTTTTTTTTTTTTTTTGAGACAGGGTCTCACTTTGTCGCCCAGGCCAAAGTGTAGTGGTGCAGTCACAGCACACTGCAGCCTCAACCTCCCTGGCTCAAGTGATCCTCCTGCCTCAGCCTCCCAAGTTGCTGGGACTACAGGTGCATACCACCATGCCTGGCTAATTCTTTTTTTTTTTTTTTTTTTTTTTTTGGTAGAGATGAGATCTCCCTGTGTTGCCTAGTCTGGTCTCAAACTCTCAAACTCCTGGGCTCAAGTGATCCTCCCGCCTTGGTCTCCCAAAGTGCTAAGATTACAGACATGAGCCGTTGCGCCCAGCCCCCAGCTGATTTTTGACAAAGGCCCTGCAAAGGCAATTCAATGAAGAAAGGATAGCCTTTTAACGAATAGTGCTAGAGCAGTTGGACAACCATAGGCAACTAAAGGAATCTCTAAATCTCACATCTTATATAAGAATTAACGCAATATTGATCACAGATCTAAATGTAAAACATAAAACTATAAAACTTTTAGAAAAAAATATAGGAGAAAATCTTTGAATCCCAAAACGAAACAAAACCTTTTTAGACTCGATACTAAAAACGTGATTCATAAAAGGAAAACTTGATAAACTGGACCACATAAAACCAAAAGTTTTTGCTCTGTGAGAAACCCTGTTATGAAGATGAAAAGGCAAGCTATGGACTGGGAGAAAATATTTGCAAACCATATTTCTGGGAAAGCACTTGAATCTAGAATATAATAACTCTCAAAACTCAACAGTAAACAAACGAACAATTCAGTTAGAAAATGGGCAAAAGACATGAATAGACATTTAACCAAAGAGGATATACATATGGCAAATAATGACATAAAAGATGATCGGCATCAATAACCATTAGAGAGGCCAGGTGTGGTTCACACCTGAAATCCCAGCACTTTGGGAGGCCAAGGCAGGCAGATCACCACTTGAGGTCAGGAGTTCAAGACCAGCCTAGCCAACATGGCAAAACCCCGTCTCTACTAAAAATACAAAAATTAGCCAGGCATGGTGGCACATGCCTATAGTCCCAGCTACTCAGGATACTGAGGCAGGAGAATCGCTTGAACCTGGGAGGCAGAGGTTACAGTGAGCTGAGATTGTGCTACTGCACTCCAGCCTGGGCAACGGAATGAGACTGCCTCTCAAAATAAAAATAAAATAACCATTAGAGAAATGCAAATTGAAAGCACAATGAGATAACACTACACACTTATCAAAATGACTAAAATTAAAAATAGTAATAACACCAAATGTTGGAGAGAGTGGGGAAAGATTGGATCACTCATACATTGTTGGTGGGAATATAAGATGGTACAGTCACTCTGGAAAATACTTTGTTTCTTAAAAAACTAATGTTATACTTATCATATAACCCAGCAATTGCATTCCTAGGCATTTATCCTAGAGAAATGAAAACCAGTGTTCTCACAAATCTCTGTACACCCGTGTTTATAGCACTTGAAAGCAATATTTAACAGCTTTATTTATAATAGCCCAAAACTGGAAACAAGCCAAATATTCCTCAACAAATGAATGCTTAAATAAATGATGCTACATACACACCATGGCCTAATACCCAGCAACAAAAAGAAATGAACTGTTGATATACAGAAACACAACAACTTTGATAAATCCCAAGCAAATTTTGCTGATTGAAAAAGAAAATCTTAGAAATTTATATACTGCATGATTGCATTTATATAACATTTGAAAATGAAAATTTTAGATCTTATATACCTATGCACATATTGAATAAGTATCCTGAAGCTTCAAATTTCTCTGACTTCTTAGGACTCTGATCTCTAGACCCTGTTTTAAAGGAGCTTATCTGATTAGGTCAGGCCTACCCACACAGGAGTAGGGAAGATACAGAGCGTGCCCATCAAGAGGTGGAAATCTTGGGGGCATTCTTAGAATTCTCCCTGCTGTAGGCTGCATTTGGAATAGAGCTTGCAGGGGTTTCGGTAGTTTCTCCGATCCGAAAGAGGTTGAGCTCTAGGTTCCAGTCAGTATAATTTCAGTTTGGCAACATCTCCTGACACTATTAAGATATAGATTATATATATTTGTTAGGTTATTTTCATGTAAACACTTGATTAGGGTTCTAGTAAATAAAATTTATTTATTTACTCATTTTAAGTTGAGATTGTTTTTGTACTGACATACCTCTCCATATTCTCAATCTAATTGAACATCGTGCTTTGTTGCTTATAGCTGACAAATGATTAATACTTTTTAGATTCTTAGTGAAAATCTTGACTTATGCTGCTGACACTTTTCCCAGTCTGTGCCTATAAGCAGGCTTTTGTGCTGGAGATGGCCATACTTGTTGCCAATGCCGAGTTTTTTTCCTCCCAGTTCCCTATTGCTCCACCCTCTGAAAGTCACTGAAGTGGTTTTAGAGCTTTCATTCTAGAGGGAGCTCTTCCCCACACTTACTTCTAAGAAGTAATAATTTTAAGTTTCATAATCAAGGAGATGTTGATTTTCTTCCTGGTTTTCTGGTGCTCCTTATCTTTTCTGGATCACTAACTTAAATTAAGATCCACTTATGAATGCTGCATTCAGGAGCACTTGTGAAAATAAACGATGGCATGCCCACCATTTAGTTTGCCAAGCTTTCCTTGAAAACGCAGGTAAGTTCTATTGCAAACGTGTCTTTTTGCTGTTTGGTACAAATGACTGCACTATTCACTGTGACTAGGCCCGTGTCACCGTGTGTTCTCAGTCCTCGCATGAGAGCCTGGTTGACACTGGTTCTCTCTGCTTTGGGGACCGTATCTGGCTGTGCGCTATGTGGAGGGCTGAGCTCGTGTCTTCCTGGGTAAATACATCATGTTCTCAACAAGGGCTGCATGTTTCTTTATTGCTGTTTTTTCCCCAGAGACTTAGCTTTTCTAGGTGTGTAGCATGGCTCTTAAATACACACATTTAGCAACTGTGCAAATTCAGTAAAAATGGAGAGACTTATTTAAGGAAGACAGTAGGGAAATGTCTAAATAGTGCAGTGTAGGCCATTCAGTTAAATTTCAGTATGGCTTTCGATGCAGGCAAAGCCGTTTTGCCTTTGATTCTCATTTTTTAAATTAGATTTTAAAAATTGAGATTCTCCTTTTTTAAATGAGATTTTAAAAATTGAGATTCTCCTTTTTTAAATGAGATTTTAAAAATTGAGATTCTCCTTTTTTAAATGAGATTTTAAAAATTGAGATTCTCCTTTTTTAAATGAGATTTTAAAAATTGAGATTCTCATTTTTTAAATGAGATTTTAAAAATTGAGATTCTCATTTTTTTAAAGCAAAGTAACTGAGGAAATCTAATTCTCTAGTTGGAAATTTGTGTAAGCATTGGGGCTTTAAAAATGGTAATACTAAACTCAAGTTCCTTCACTCTGAACCAATCCCAGGATTCTTTTCCATAATTAGGAACAGATCAAAACCTATAACTGCTGAGGGAATTTGAAACTGACTATAAAAATCTTTGTAGATGCAGCTAAAAAACAAACAAAACCCACAGACTGAAAAGTCCTGTTTCTGGGAGGGTGGCGGGTGTGTTGGGGCCGGTTGTGCCTGTTTTTTGATTGGTTGTTCCTGTGGGTGAGCACCCTTCCCTCTGCCCCTGCTTTCTGAAAGCTATCCTAGTTGTTCTCCCCAGTAAGCCGGGGCTCAGCCGGCTTCAGCTATGTCCATAGTTTGGGGGCGTGGGCGGTAGGTATTCAAGATAGAAGATGGTTGGACAGAAAGTGTGTGAGGTGGGAAGGTGGAGTGGTGAGGCTCTGGCTCGTTCCCGACTCTGCAACAGAGGTTGTTACTGTAATGTGGAGCTAATATAGAAGTCTGCGTGCTGGGTGTTTCATCTACTGTTTTATGTAAGAGGCCAGTGTTCACAAGTAAAGGCAACACAGAATTGGTATTGAGAACTGGGCATTCATTTAGATTTTAGAGTTCTGTTTATGGGTGCTAACAGGATCGCTATACTGAGCAAGGGATGTGTGAAACTTTTGTTCACTTGGATGTGCTTTTTTTCTTATAACAGCTTTATTGAGACATCATTTACATACCATACAGTTCGCTCATTTAAAGTACACAATTCAGTGGTTTTCAGTGTATTCACAGAAGCGTGCAGCCACCCGTCACTACAGCCAATTTTAGAATATTTTCACCACTTCCAGAAGAAGCCCCTAGCAGTCAGTCCTCATTCCCCCCTCTTCCGGCAACCCCCAGTCTGTATTTCCTGTCTCTGTGGATTTGCCTATTCTGGACATTTTATATAAATTGAGTCACATGATATGCTCTCACTTAGCATACTGTTTTCAAGGTTCACCCGTGTTTAGTATGTTTCAGTACTTATTCCTTGTCATAGCTGAATAATCTTCCTTATATGTATATACCACGTTTTGTTTATCCATTTTTCTATCGATGGATGCTTGGGTGGTTTTCACTCTTTGGCTATTATGAATAGTGTCAGATATACTTTTAATGTTTATATTTATTGTATAATAACAGTGCATATCCGTACCTCCTGGTGTTAATTGTCTGTATCTTAAGAGTTTTAAGAATTATATGGTTGTGCTGTAATTCTAGCACTTAGGGAGGCCGAGGCGGGCAGATCGCTTTAGCTCAGGAGTTTGAGACCAGGCTGGGCAACATAGTAAAACCCTGTCTCTACTAAAGTACAAAAAATTAGCTGGGCGTGGTGAAGTGTTCCTGTAGTCCCAGCTACTTGCAAGGCTGAGGCACAAGAATCACTTGAACCCAGGAGGCAGATGTTGCAGCGAGCCAAGATTGCACCACTGTACTGCAGCCTGAGCGACAGAGCAAGACTCCTGTCTCCAAAAAAAAAAAAAATTTTTCTTTATGATGAAACCCACAAGGCTGTACAAGAACCTTAAATATAGTTTGAAACAAAGAAAGACACATGCTTTTAAGTACAGTTTAATTCTTTTCTTTTTTCTTTTTTCTTTTTTTTTTTTTTTGGAGACAGAGTCTCACTCTGTCGCCCAGGCTGGAGTACAGTGGTGCAATCTTGGCTCGCTGCAACATCTGCCTCCTGGGTTCAAGTGATTCTCGTGCCTCAGCCTTGCGAGTAGCTGGGACTACAGGAACACTTCACCACGCCCAGCTAATTTTTTGTATTTTAGTAGAGACAGGGTTTTACCATGTTGCCCCCATCATTCTCAGCAAACTATCGCAAGGACAAAAAACTGAACACCGCTTGTTCTCATTCATAGGTGCAAACTGAACAATGAGGACGCATGGACACAGGAAGGGGAACATCACACACCAGGGCCTGTTGTGGGGTGGGGGGAAGGGGAAGGGATAGCATTAGGGGATATACCTAATGTTAAATGACGAGTTAATGGGTGCAGCACACCAACATGGCATATGTATACATATGTAACAAACCTGCATGTTGTGCACATGTACCCTAAAACTTAAAGTATAATTAAAAAAAAAAAAAAGAAAAATGTGTTATTCCTTTGTCTCGAAAGTCCCCTGCTTTTCAGCTTTCGCTTTGGTTGTCTCTTGTCAGCTCTTTAATGCTATTGTTCCCTTGGGTTTCATCTGGACTCTTTTTCCCTGGGCAATCTCATCCACACCATCTGGGAACATTGCCTTTGGCTGGACAGGTAAATCTTTGTCTCTAGCAGACTTCTCTCCTGTGATCTCCAGAGCCAGGAACCCACTAGACTTCCTTAAAATTCATTCAGCCAGCAGACTTTCTGGCCCAGAGCAGCAGCTGTGAGTGGACAGCAGGCACCTCGTTAGAAGCTCGGTGTTGGAGGTGTGCCCATGCATTCCTGGGAGCCATGAGAGGGGAGGGGAGTGCCCTGTGTCACCTGAGTCCAAGTTAAGAGAGATCACACCAGAGCTGATTCCTAAGGAGCATGGGGGCGGGGGAAGGGGGTGTTCGTGGTGGGGAAAGGAAATGACCAGCCCTTTCAGGAACTACCAGGAGTTTAGCAGAGCTGGTGACAGTGCTATGAGCAAGAAGGTGGAGAGCTGGGGAGGGCCATTATGAAGAGACTGGAGATTGCAGGCTGTGAACTTGAGTCCTGATGTGACTGGGAATTGTTGAGATGTTTTAGGCCGAAAAGTCACCGACGATCAGTGTTTAGAAAGACCCCACTGGCAGCAGTTGGGAGTGTGGATTGGAAGGAGCCAGGCCTAAGTCCTGGGAGGACTTAGGAGGTCCAGGAGTCCAGGGAGTCCAGGTGGAATTCTTGTGTAGAAACCCAGGGAAGGGGACCATCTGATGACACACATCCCATAGCAACTTCCTTTCCTCCTCTGCACCTCCACAGCAGAGTGTCTGTTTCCACTATACGAAGATTTCTTAATGGCAAGGATCGCATTTTTATCCCTCAGTGTCCTCAGTGTCATGTGCTAATCAGTTGGAGATACTCCCTAAATGTATGCCAGATGAGTATATAGTTGTTAGTATAAGGGCTTTACGGTAGGTATCAGAACTTTTTCTTTTTTACAACTTTTATAACTTTTATAAAGGAGCCGACACCTTTTTCTGATATTGTCAGAACAATTGCTGACCAGTGCTATGGGCTGGCTGAGGTTGGCAACCAAGAATCTGTTATCTCAGTCTACACAGCGTGGAGTTAGAAGATTGGATTGTTGTTGGTTAGAATTTTGTCCAGAGAGTTAGAAGATAGAAGAAAAGGGAGGGCTGAGGACATAAACATCCAAATTTTACAAAGAAGAAAGTTCAGTGCTCCTGTCAATATTGAAATAGTTAAGAGGGAAATGATTGGGTCTGGGGAATGCTTCAAAATAATATGATCATAGGGAAAGTAAGTGTAGTGTGGATGAAACAAGGTTGGCCTTGAGCTGATAATTTACTAAAGCAGGATGATGAGCGTGTGAGGTTCATTATAGTGCTCTTTCTACTTTTTAAAAAGCTTAAGATTTTCCAAAATGAAAAAGAAGCTGAGCATGGTAGCTCATGTCTGTAATCCCAGCACTTTGAGAGCCTGAGACGGAAGGATCACTTGAAGCCAGGAGTTCGAGACCAGCCTGGGCAATATAGTGAGACCCCCATCCCTACTAAAAAAGAAAAAAAATTACACAATGAAAAGAATAATACAGGTGGTAGAAGAAGAAATAAAGGTATGAGTATATGATTTGGCCTCCTACAGACAGCTACAGGAGCATGCCTCTGCTGGGCGGGCCTGGAGCATAGTGCACCCTGGAGCTGAAGTTCTGTTCGCCTTTACAGGAAGTACACAGCATTGTACGGGGGTTTTACCAGTTAACAGTGGACAGTCTCTAGAACACTCAGGGGTCAGGGGCAAAACTCCCTCTCCCTCAAACCAGCCCACCTGTCTTGGTGAGAATGGAAAACGGAGCTTCCCAGCAAGCCTCCTGCCTTCACCCCGACGCACAGGTGCATCAGGGTCTGAGGGCTCCTCCCTGTGGGGCCTGGGAAGCCGCCCTTCAGTGGGCTATGGCTGCATTGTCTTCTGATCTTGTAGCTGTGTGTGGGTAACAGGCACATCGTCTCCCCATATCCCAGAGAGTCATGTCCACTTCCTATCTGTGGTGGCATCTTTCCATCACTGTCACCCTCAGGATAATGGCACAGGAACTAACAGAGGCACTAAGAGCAGTGATATATACTGGAGGGAGGGGCGGGGCTGATGACCAAAATCACCTTCTGTTTCAGTAAGAGGTTGGTTAAAGTGATGCCTAAAATGGATAGATCAGGAAATAACAATAAAAACATTAATGATAAAAAGGCAACTGCCAGAAGAACTGAAAAGTAACCTAGTTCAAGGTGGGGGTCCCTGGAGAGAAGCCTTCAGAAGAGCAGAGGAAGAGCAGGGAACATTGCTTTTCATGACTAGCCTTTCAGTACCTTTTGATATTTCAGCTAAGTATGTAGTTCTCTAATGATTTCTAAATTGTTAATGAGTGTGATAGAATAGGAATTCTGGAGAATGGTCAAAAGGAATTGCTAGGAGAAAATTAGGGAAAGAAAGCACAGAGCAGTATTGAGGTGGGAGGTTGGGAGCAGACAGATGGTGAGTGTTCGTTTGCATGGCAGGAATGAGTGGCTGAATGGCATTAACTGGCCATGGGGCTCTGACCAGAGCTTGGGTATACAGTTTCTGTGCCAGCACAAACCAGCATTAGGTGCGTGGTGTGTGAGGCCGGGTGATGGTCATATGGATCTGGTCCAGAGCTGTGGTCTTGACATAGAGTTCCATGTATGAACTTTGGTGGTGGTGGTGGTTTTGTTTCGTTTTTTAAGAAAAAAGGAAGAGTTGTTTTATGTCACAGCCAAACTCAAGGAGGTGACAGCACAAGACCCAGGTTAGAATGTACTTAGCCAGGGCTCACGGAATCTTCCATCCTTTGCAAAGCCAAGAAGAGTAGAGGCCTCAAGGAGAATAGAGGAGCACATGGGCTCCTTCTGGGCTGAGCTCTCACCCTTGGTGGGGCCGCTGGTCCCAGGGGGTCGTTGGGAGCCTGCGGAGATTCTGCCCAGTACATACATACCTTGCGTTTTCTCGGAGCCTGACAGGTGCTGCCTTGAAGCGGAAAGACTTCACCTCACAGGGTGGCCAGCTGTCCTTTCTCTTCCTCTCCCTGTCTTGTGTGCTCATGATAATGGATAGATAGACATCTCCATGGTAGAAATAATGCAGCCCTTTCTGCAGTCCATGGTTCCACAGCATATGGTCAGTAGACTTAGATGAGTGCTACATAAAGTGTAATTAGTTCTGCACCACGGTGTCTTACCTTCTGAAAAGGAAACTCTGGTATTGACTTAGAAATGCCAGTTTTATCCTTCCGACCAGAACGCAAGTCCTGAATGAGGCCAGAGGCCAATGAAAGGTCCTTTCTTCTCTCTTTTCAAATCTGCTGTATTAAACAGTGACTTTTCCTAGTCATTCAGTATTCATTCATTCATCCATTTATTCAAGTTTTTGAGTACCTTCTTTGTGGATGGCACATAGTAGATGCAAAAATACAATCATTTTTAAAATGGAAAGCATTTGTTATGTGGTAGTGGAATATAAGAAATGCCATGCTTCCATATTTTTATGGTAATCTTGGACTCAGGTTCTACCCACCATACTTAATTAGAAATTCATTCTCAGCCTCTGTTTTGGCAGAGACCCATTCTCTTCCCTCAGGAACATACAGAAACCTCAGGGCTGAACTGAGCTCAGAGGTTGGGGAAGGTCCCCTGGTCTGATCTTCAGTCGCTGACTGCTGCGCCCGATTCCCTGGCCCCTCACTCTTGAGGGCAGCATCCTCACTCTTGTGTGGCACAGGCTTGGACATAGAATGACACTTAAGCACCAGAGCCTCCCTAGCCTGCCACAAGGACACCCTACATTCCCAGGCACTTTCAGAATGCAAAACCTCCCCTCCATTCCCTCCCTTTCCCTGCCTCCAGGTTTGGGCCCTGCCTCTCCTTTTGTTTCAAAGCACTGTCCTCTCTTCCTCTACCCTTATCCTTCCCCATCTCCCTCCCACTCCCCAAAAGAGCCAAACTAATTATGGGGATTTAACCTTCCAATTAAAGGCGAGGATTTTTTTTTTTCAATGCAGTTCCTGAAATGCTAAAGAAATTGTCCAGGGAAAGGAGCACAGGAGGAGTTTTGTTTTGTTTTGTTTTGTTTTGTTTTGTTTTGTTTTGTTTTGAGACAGTCTCGCTCTGTCACCCAGGCTGGAGTGCAGTGGTGCGATCTTGGCTTACCGCAACCTCTCCACCTCCTGGGTTTGAGCAATTCTTGTGCCTCAGCCCCCCAAGTAGCTGGGATCACAGGTGCACACCACCACGCCAGCTAATTTTTGTATTTTTAGTAGAAATGGGGTTTTGCCATGTTGGCCAGGCTGGTTTCGACCTCCTGGCCTCAAGTGATCCACCCACCTCAGCCTCCCAAAGTACTGGGATTAGGCGTGAGCCACTGCATCCAGCCTGATGTTTAAATAATTTCTTACTTCAGAGTTTCCTGAAGTGTGGCCTATGGAGACTAGCATCAGAATCACTGGAGGAGCTTAAAGATATAGAGACAGGGATAGGGCCTGAGATTCTGACTTTGTTGTAAGCTATCCAGAGTTTGAGAGCCATGGCCTAGTTCTTGGAATACAAAAGTGTATCTGCTCTTGTATGGGAGGTAGGAAGTTACCTTTTCATTCATTCTTCTACAACAGTAATTTAAAAGTTAGGAATTGGTGTCTTCATAGACAGAAGAATGCAGGAATCCTCTTCTCAGGATGTCTGTCTTTACACAGCCATGGTATATGGTAGACCAAGTTTGTCCAACCCATGGCCCGCGGGCTACATGCAGCCCAGGACGGCTTTGAATGCAGCCCAACACAATTCATAAACTTTCTTAAAACATGATTTTTTTATTTTATTTTTTTTTAAGCTCATCAGCACTATCGTTAGTGTTAGTGTTAGTGTATTTTATGTGTGGCCAAAGACAATTCTTCCAGTGTGGCCTAGGGAAGCCAAAAGATTGGACACCCCTATATAGACCATAATTATCACACGCCCTGAGAGGGAAGCAGATCAATGGTGAGGGAGCGTAGAGGAGAGCCTGCCAGAGTTTCCAGTGGGGCCGGGGATGCTTAAAAACGGAGGCAGTGATGTGCTGAGCCAGAAAGGACAGGGAGGACCCCCATGCACACAGGCAGGGAGGCTCTCTGGTGACATCTGCCGTCAGGTACAGTAGTACAGTAGTAGAGTGAGCGGAAGCACTTTTGGCTGAAGTGCAACATTAGTGATTGAGGAAGTGCAGGTCCGTAATATCTTACCCCAAACCCTGGGGCTCACTGAGCTTCCGAGTTCAGAGTTTTTCAGAATTGATGAACACATCCAGAAGGCCCATGGGGCAGATACACCTTAGACATATTGATGAAAGTGGAGTTGGAATTGGGTTGTGGAAGTCGTAGGACGTGAATTCTAGGTTTCTTGGAGTGTGGAGTATGGTGTCTACTGTTTGGAAACAGAGAAGAATGACATTATGAGTTTTATTTATAAAATAAGAATTTCTTCTTTGTATTAAAATAGATTTTTATATAGGAAATTTTCATTACCTTCAGTATCAGAAAGGCCCCCAAATCTATTTCACCGTTTCCATAATAAATTGTGAAAGAAAGATTTGATTGGGATATTGTCTTTAAAAATGAAACCAAAAAGTATGGGAAAATACTTTAATTTTAGAGTTAACAACATTTATAGTTACAATCATGAAGCAGGTATGGTGCTGCTTCATGAGCCAAGTTCATAAAAGAAAAAAAAATCAGATCTTACTGAGTTCTGTGAGACAGATCATTATTTTTCTTATTAACATATTCATTTATTCAGCAAATGTTTATTAAGTGCCAATTAATGTATCAGTGGCTGCTTTAGGCACTGGAGATATATGGTCAGTGGGATAAGGGGAAGTCTCTGTCTTCAATCCTCACAGATCTTATTTTCCATAAGTAAGTGTACAAATACGGGCTATGAATTAAATAGAGCAAGATAAAGAGATGGGGGTGTGGCTTCAGTTGTGCACATGGTGCCCAGAAATCTGATAGCTCCATCATGGAGTCCTTCACTTGAGACTTCACAGCAGGATGTAAAAAGCAACAGCCAGGAAACTCCTTAGTTTTCCCAAAGTCCTCCCTTAATCTCGTTTAGAGAATTATGAAACACTTCCTATGGCTTCATCCTTTATCCCTTCTTCAGTTGATAACTGAAGGGCTAAATCTGCCAAGTCTTCCTTTGCCAATGGTTTTGTGCGAGCAGTTCTCCAACAGCGCTTCCACTAAAATCTTGTCTTTTACAAGATGGATTTTACAGTTGGTTGGCATTGTATGACAGTCTGTGAGTAGGGACAGCCCAATGTATGTTTGTTAATCAAGTTTATGCCTTTTACATTGAGTAATTTTTAATTACCTCGTGTAATTTTTAACAGCACTCTCCTTCATCTTCAGAAGTGTTCAGTTTGAACAATAAGTTTGTCATCTTGTCAGTCAAAGGTTGACCAACAAAGACTGACCGCAGTGGGCGGGGTATTCAGCAGGGTTAGATGTTTCTAAGTGGTCAGTGCTTTCATAAACATTTTCACGTTATGACCTTTGCCTCCTCACACAATCTTGTAACTATGGAGACTTAGATGATAAAGATTCAACTAAGAGGATCCCTTTAAAGTCTTGGGTACCAGCCATACCAAAAGCTGTTTTATATGAGGTTCTTTATGATTATAATTTGGACATGAACATGGAGTGGTCCTGCTTCAGCAAGAAATCAGGCTAATAACCATTAGCATCCAGTGTGGGTAAAGGCGGGGGCTGCCCTGAGGAGTGTTGTGTGGCACAGGGCGCATGAACACCAGATAAGTCCTCAGACAGTGCCCTTAGCATCCAGTGGTTTTTGGCATCTAGCAGGGAGTAAAAGTATCTCATAGATTCTTTAAGTGTAAACACCGAGGACACACTTAACGTTTTAAAAGATTGAAATCCAGACAGGGCTGGGGTGGACTCTAATCTGTTTCCTTCTCTCTCTTTATGTGTTATAACTTGGATTCTTCATTCCCCAAAATGACCTTGTTTATATAATTCTCCAGTCTTATCTAAAACTTTTATGTGAGGACCATGGCTCATATTCCGCAGCTTTCCTTCTCTCAAGGAGCTAGGACTGGTTATTGTGATAAATGAAGGAAAAGAAAAGAAAGTGGGTTTCTGTTTATTGTATGAAATTGATGTAACTTTGTATTTCTGATTATAAATGGTAGCCAGAGGGAGGACACAAAAACTTCAAATTCCAAGCCCCATAATATATTATGGCCTGAATAGTGTTGGAATTTATTTATTTATGGAATGTCAAAAAGAAAATAGGGCCATCAAAAAAGCAAACAGTGGAAGTCTATTTTCTGGCCCCTGTGAGTCTGGCTCTAAAAACAGTGCAAGGGGTTGGGGTTTGGTGGGACTAGGAAAGCAGATGCTCGTCATTTACCTTCCTGTGTTTGTCATGAGAATTGTCTGTACTGGGATTGTCACCTTGGTCAGTAATTGTTTCGTTTATAGTACCATTGTCTCTCCAAAGAGGGCTGAGTTCCCTAAAAAAAAGCAGGCAGCGCACCACAACATCTGGCTAGTAGCACGTATATTATCGGTGATAGTAAGGACACAATTCTCGTATTTAATCAATTTGGAGGTATGCATTTTTTCGTGGGCTAATATCCCTGAAATCATGATGCATCTTATGGTCAGTGACTTAAAAAGCATTATGTCATAGTTAAATTGACAGTGTTTTTCCTAAATTATACACAGAATAATGCCTTTTTCAGCCAATGTTATTTTAGAGTTGATGAAATATGTTGCATTTTTATATTCTTGGTATGAAGACTATTAACTGTATAATAAAATTATTTAAGTTCTGATGACGTAGTGTCAGATGATGTTCAGTGTAGCAAAACGCGAGGCACAATTTTTTGTAAAAAGGACAATATCTTGCAGTCAGTACACACTGAGTACATAAATGTTGACCAAATGAAGAGCACAGAATGGGGCTGCCCACCTGGAGGCAGAGCCATGAATTGGTACTGAGGCAAACAAGGAGAGCTTTGTGTGTGGGTGGAGGCGCAGGGAGGGAGCGCCAGGCTTCATGGAGGCATGCGAGGGTCTCCAGGGTCAAACAGACAGAACCTCAGAACTGGTGTGAAGCTTAGAAGGGGCTGCAGGAGGCTGTGCTAAAGCCTCAGTGTATTGCTATGGGACTGGCAACTAAACAAGTAAACTAAAGGGGTGAGGTACTTTTCCTTAAGTGAAAAAAGTTTCCTTAACTTCTTTAAAATGTAAGCTCTGTTTTCAGCTTAACTCTTGAAATGAGAAGCGTGAATCCGTGGTGGTTTCATGACCTGCATAATCACACTACCTGTTTTTCTGTCACAGATTGCCTTCTCTCAGCACAGCAATTTTATGGACCTGGTACAGTTCTTCGTGACTTTCTTCAGGTAATTTTGCTTATACAGACTCTCTCTGTTCTTTTGATTTAGGCACTAGATCCATTAATAGAGTATCAGCTCCTAAAAGATAAAAAGAATAATCCTGTGTTTCCACCACAGATTAAATTTACTTCATATGTGTTCCTGAAAAGTTAGATGTCAGTTACAGTAATATAAACTCAATCTAGCATGACAAAGTGAAAACGTTTGGTTTGTATGTTCTGGCTTCCAGCGGGGGGCTTTGCATGTATCCTGTATTAATTTTGCATGCATCCTATAGATAATTTGGCTCTTCATATGGGGAGAATTTGGGACTAAAACAACATTTAATTAATAATGGTTACTGATGTGAGCTACACATATGCTTATGCTTGTTCAAGAGATGATTCTGGTGATTATCCAAAGTTTTAAAGCTGAAAGTGATTTTTTAGTGCCCTGGGATTTTCTTTTATTTCCATAGTTTTTTTCGTAGTCTAATTTTATCTTTATGAAAATACTATAGACAAATAATTGAAAAAGACAAAAAACGTGCTGCAGTTTTTAAAACAGAAAGCAGCAATAGCCTGCCTTGCGCCTTCCCCACCCCACGTCCCCCAATTTAAATTGTTTTGTTTTTTACTTCTCTGTGTTTACACTTGGTTTTTCAGTTAAGTTCTCTTTTGATGTCCTACTGTAGAAGATGAGGATATACTGTGTTACATGGCCTCCCCTAGCATCTCCCCTCACACCACAAAAGCATACAAAAGCCCCATCTCTTTCATTTAATACCATTGTATCATAATGCATGGCTAAATCAGTGATCCCTATCTATGTTATGGCCATAAAACTCTTATTCACAGCTGCATTGAACAGTGATTACACTACCACATTTTTTGGGTAGAAGGATCATTCTTTGCTTATCCTAAATGTAGTATTTGCCATGTTTTGGCTTTTTAATTGTTTGATTTTTCTATGTGCCTACCCCTGATTTATCACTATACTCTTGCTGATGTACCTTTAGAACAGTAAAAAATAAAATAAAATAAAGTATCATTGTACTGTGACAGAACTGAAAAATCTCACAATGGTCACACACAGGAAGGTGCTCTCTTGGTTTGAATTTCTCTCGGAGTTGCCCACCCTAGAACCTTCCCACCTCCTGCCCCCAAGTGCACTTGTTCCTGAGGCCTGCTGCACAACTGTCATTTGGAAACTTCCTTTGCCTTCCTCCTATATTGAAGTCTCTGTTTCCCAGATCCCATGTCTTCACCTTCCTATCCATTCCCTCTTTTTACTGGAGCACATTCTCTAGATTTATGAGAAAAGATGCCTGGGAGATAACTTTTCTGTGAGCTCTCCTGACTGAAAATATATTTATTTTATCCTACAATTTGATTGAATTTCTGGGGGCAGGTGCTATGGCTCACACCTGTATTTCTAGCACTTTGGGAGACCAAAGTGGGTGGGTCACTTGAGCTCAGGAGTTCGAGACCAGCCTGGACAACATGGCAAAACCTTGTCTCTACAAAAAATACAAAAATTAGCTGGGTGAGGTGGCGCAAGCCTGTAGTCCCAGCTAATCAGGAGGCTGAGGCAGGAGAATGGCTTGAGCCTAGGAGGCAGAGGTTGCAGTGAGCGGAGATTGCACCACTGCACTCCATCCTGGGTGACAGAGTGAGACCCTGTCTCAAAAAAAAAAAAAAAAAAAAGTCTGACTACAGAATTCTAGGTTCAAAATCATTTTCCATTAGAATTTAGAAGACGTTATACTATTTTTTCTAGTGTCCAGTATAATATTGAGAAGGCTAGTGCTGTTATAATTCCCACTCTTTGTATGGGATCCGTTTTCTCTCTTAAAAAGAAAAGTATATTTAAGTGTAATATAAAGTTACAGAAACATTTGCAAATCCTATGTGTGTAGCTCAGTGAATTATCACAAATTGAACACTTCTAGAGTATTGATAATATTATCTCTTGTTCACCCAGAACACTTCAGGCTTCTTATTTCTTCTCTGTCAGTTTCGGCAAGTTGTATATAGTTTTCTTCTAATGATCCCATTCCATCTGTTCCATTCTCTTGTTCACTGAGAACAAGAGTTAATATTACCAATACTCTAGAAGTTCCTCTTGTGTTTCCCCTCACTCACAACCCCCTGCCTCTTCCCCAAAGGTACCATTTACCTGACTTCTCAAACCATACATTGCATTTGCTATTTTTGAAATGCATATGAATTATTTCTTTTTTTTTTTTTTTTTTTGAAACTTAGTCTCTCTCTGTCACCCAGGCCAGAGTGCAGTGTTGTGATCTTGGCTCACTGCAAGCAACCGCCGCCTCCCGGGTTCAAGCAATTCTCCTGCCTCAGCCTCCCAAGTAGCTGGGATTACAGGCACGTGCCACCACGCATGGCTAATTTTTGTATTTTTAGCAGAGACGGGGTTTCACCAGGTTGGCCAGGCTGGTCTCGAACTCCTGACCTCAAGTGATCCACCCGCCTCTGCCTCCCAAAGTGCTGGGATTACAAGCATGAACCACTGCGCTCAGTCAAAATGTATATAAATGAAATCACAACATAAATTTTAAGATGATTTGGTTGATGAAGAAAATACTGAAAACTTGTGGGTTGCAGTTAAAGTTGTGCTTCGAGGTTATAGCTGTAAATCTGTGGCTCTCCACCTTAGCTGCACCTAGAATCACTTGCGGAGCTTTTGATGTCCAAGCCACTCTTCAGACCATTTGACTCAGAACCTCTAGGGGTGCACCCCAAACATTTGAAAACTCTCCAGGTGATTCCAATGTGCAGCTAAGGTTGAGAATCACTGCTTTAAAAGCACATATTAGAAAAGAAAAAACATTCCTCTCAATAACTCAGAACTGCTAATTAAACCTAAAGAAGTAGAAGAAAGAAAAATATAAATAAGAGCAAAAATTAATGATCTAAGGGAAGAAGTACAGTAGAGAGGATCTTAAAAACTGTCAGTTGGATCTTTGAAAAGAGTAAGAATAATATTGACAAACCCCTGGCAAGATTAACCAAGGAAAAAAGAGAGAAGGTATATGGTATATGTAGCCAATGTCAGAAATAAAAAAGGGGGCATTCCTCCAAATCCCGCAGACGTTTTTTTCCTCCAGAAGGGTATTTGATGAACAACTTTATGTGAATGAATTTGAAAATGAAACAGATGGAATGGGACCATTAAAAGAAAAATATGCAACTTGCCAAAACTGACACAGAAGAAGTAAGGAGCCTGAATAGTTCTGTATCCATTTTTAAAACAACACTAATTTAAGTTTTGTCATAGTGAAAACTCTAGGCCCCAGGTGGCTTCATTGGTAACATAACCTTTTTAGGCCGGGTGCAGTGGCTCACGCCTGTAATCCCAGCACTTTGGGAGGCCGAGGTGGGTGGATCACGAGGTCAGGAGATCGAGACCATCCTGGCTAACACGGTGAAACCCCATCTCTACTAAAAATACAAAAAATTAGCCAGGCGCGGTGGTGGGCGCCTATAATCCCAGCTACTCGGGAGGCTGAGACAGGAGAATGGCGTGAACCTGGGAGGCAGAGCTTGCTGTGAGCCGAGATCGCGCCACTGCACTCCAACCTGGGCAACAGTGCGAGACTCCATCTCAAAAAACAAAAAGGAGAATACTGTGATCATCTTAATCAATGGAGGAGATAAAGCATTTGATAAAATTTAATACCCATTCATTTTTAAAAAAATTTCTTAGAAAACTAGAAAGAAACTTCTGGAACACTGATAATGGAACAACATAAAAAGTCAACAGCAAACCACTTTCTTAATGGTAGAATGTTAGAAGTTTGAGTTTGGGAACAAGACAGAGATCCACTTTCCACAGTTTCAATTACTCAGGGTCAACCGTGGTCCAAAAACATTAAGTGGAAAATTCCAGAAATAAACAATTTATAAGTCTTAAATTGTACTCCATTCTGAGTAGTGTGATGAAATGTCGTGCCATCCTGCTTCGTCCCACCTGGGATAGGAATCATCCCTTGGTCCAGTGTATCCACGCCCCTATGCTACCCACCCACTAGTGTCTTGGTTATCAGATCTAAAAATCATAGTATATGTAGGGTTCAGTACTATCCATGGTTTCACGCATCCACTGGGAGGCTGGGAATGTAACCCCACAGATTAAGCAGGACACTATATTGCCAAATCCAAAGGATACTTTTTGGTTCTCCTCTTCTTGACTTCTCGGTGATATCAACCAACTGACTGCTTCATGAGCGAGACTCTTCCAGCCGTCTCTGACCCATGCTGCCCTACTGCTGCTTCTTAGCCTGCCTATTATGCAATCTTTTCTATTCAGCCTCTCACTGTTGATTTTTTCCCAGACCTTGACCCTGGCCGTCTTCTCACTCTGTGTTCTCTGACTGGACTCTGCCTTCCCCATCTGCAGCACGACATGCCCAGAAGTGACCAATTCCATCCTTCCTCACCGGTGTTCCCCACCTCACTAACTGGCAACATGGCTCTGCTGGTTCCAAGCCACTTCTCTTGCTTTCACTCAGCAGGCACTCCCTTACCAGGCCCCAGAGCTGTGGCCGTCAGTGCACTCTCCACCTCCACTCCCCACCCCACCAACCCTAGCATCACAGTCTCGCCTGGACCTTTTCACTTGACTTTGGCCCCTCCAGAATCCACAAAAAGTCCAGAGAAGACCTTTAAAGATCATGTATCTAGCCCCTTACCTTCCTGTCGTATCTAAAATAAAATTCAGCGTCCTGGGTGAACTGGCGTCCGCTTTTCCATATTCAGCTTGCACTCTTCTCTTCCACATTTCTGCTACCAGGACCATCTCCTATGTCTTCAAAAGCACAAGCTCTTTCCCTACACTGAGCATTTGTACATGCTTATCCCATTTTCTGGAACACTCTTCTCACTACCCTTCATTCTGTATACTTTCATACCTTGCTTGATTTTTCCAGACAACAACAAATTCTCCAATTCTCTGACACCAACTCAGTGTCTCACAGTTCAGTTCCATTCAGACACTACCCATAGTTGGAGCAAATCCTGCAGGTTAGGGGCTCAGTCCCACAAGACTGCTCCCACTTCAGACACTAAGCACAAATGGGTCCCCAGGCTACCTCACTGCTACTGGGCCAACTACAAATTCAGGGCTTCTGGTGACTGCTCACTCCAAGATTTGACAATTTGTTAGAACAGCTCACAGAACTCAGGAGAGCACTATACGTAGAATTACAGTTTTATTATACAGGGTACAACTCAGGAACCGCCAAATGGAAGACATGAATAGGACAAGGCATGGGGGTGGGTGAGCACAGCTCTTTCATGCCGTCTCTGGACAAGCCTCCTCCCTGCACGTGGATATATTCACTATCCTGGAAGCTCCCCCAAGCCTCATCATTCTGAGTTTTTTTATTGAGGTTTCATTACATAGGCATGATGGATGAAATCACTTTCTATTGGTGACTGAACTCATCTCCAGCCCCTTTCCCCTTCTTGGAGGTTGGGGGATGGAGCTGAAAGTTCTAACCCTCTAACCACCTAGTTGGGTTTTCTGGTGACCAGCCCCCGCATCTGAGGCTCTTTAGGCCCCTCTCCCCATGAGTCATTCATTAGCACACAAAAGACACTCCTGTCCCTCTGAAAATTCCAAGGGGTAAGCTAAATTGTCTCCCCTTGTTCCTCACTCCTGTAGAACTGTATTATTTTTCATCGTGGTATTCATCACAATTTGAAGAATATATTCATATGTTTACTTGCTTAATATCTGGGTCGGTAGCCCAAGCTTCAGGGGAGCAGTGCACTGTCTCTCGTTCACTCCTATACACACACAGCTTCAGCATCTAGTACATAATCTAGTAAGATATTTGTGGGAAGTAAACTTAGACTCTTCAGGGTAAGTGCAGAGTGAGGAGGAACCATAGGCACCAACCTCTCAGGGAAAAAAGCTTGTGTCAATGGCTTGCTTTTAAGGGATGTAGGGGCTGTATTGTAGCTCCAGTAGACATCCTTAAATTCTTGGAGCATGTGTATGGAATAAGATGGCCCTGCTGCCAAGTACGTACAGCCTGGTGAGGACCGGCCACTTCTACTGGACATTCAGTCCCTGGGCGACCGAATGACACTATCAGAATAAGTCGAGGAAGTACTTTTCAGGCCCATGGCCTCTTGTGTAGTAAACAAGGACAGATGGCATTTTCATCACTTCTCCCTTGTGGGGGTTGAACTTCTGGAAAAGAATCCGGAACTTTGGTTTTTCTAGACGATGTTTACTAACTAGCGATGATAAACTTTTAGCTAAGAATAGAGTTACTTTCATGGCATGGGGAAGAAAATATTTTCCCAGGACAAGTTAACCATGTCTAAAAGAATTTATTTAGCTTTTTTTTTTTTTTTTTTTTTTTTTTTTTTTTTTTTTTTTTTTTTTTTGGGATAGGGTCTCTGTTGCCCAGGCTGGAACACAGTGGTGCAGTCATAGCCCACTGCAGCCTCAAACTCCTGAGCTGGTCTCAAGCAGTCCTCCTCACCTCAGTCTCCCAAGTAGAGCTGGGACTGCAGGCATGCACCATCATGCCCAGCTAATATTTTCTTTTTTGTAGAGTTGGGTTCTCACTATATTGCCCAGGCTGGTCTTAAACTTCTGGCCTCAAGCAGTCCTCCCATCTCAGCCTCCCAAGGTGCTGGGATTACCAGCGTGAGCCACTGCTCCCAGCCTGGTCCAAAAGAATTTAAAATGGAGCCTATAAGGAAAAGGGGAAAGGTATCCAGATAATCCTAAGCACTCTGAAGAATGGCTCATATAATATATGGAAAAAAGAACAAAAGTCGGGGGGAAATTCGATGATTCAAATGAGAAAATCAATGTAAAGTGAGTTAGAAAAAATATTTCCAGACTCCGGGCACAGAAAAGTAAACTCTAGGTCCTGACACAGTCTGTTGAGACTGTGTCCTAATGAGATGCTTTTCCAGCCTCAGGAAGGAGCCTCCTTAAAGAGGGAAATAAGAGACTCTCCTCTGCTTGCTTTTCTGTAGCTTCTTGTAGCTGGAGCAGCAAGTAGAAGGGACTGGGGAACTGGTGTTGTCAACAGATCTTCACTGAATACAGAAGGGCCCTCTCACCTTCCCTGAGGCATAGAGGGAAGCAGGCACAGACTGTATTACGGGTGGACCCAAGAGAGGTTTCTGAGTGACACCAGGGTCCTCGCCTCTCAGCAGCAGCGGCAGGCTCTTGACCAACTTAGAAGCTGTTGCCGTTGGCTTCATGCTCTTCCTTGTGGATTTGCTGCCTCCTTATGTTTATCTATTAGAATAAAAATAACAAAAATCAGGATTATGCGTGGAAGCCAAGAAAGACTGAGAAGGTTATTCTCAGACCTCTTTACTGGTTCTTCCTGTTCTCCTCAACTTCTCATTGTTAGGGTGGCCCCAGGACATTCTCATCTATCTGTATTCACTCTCTTGGTGAATGTGGCCAGGTTTATTGCTTGAAATACCATATATATCCTTATGCCTTCCAAATGCCATGCCCAGCCCAGACCTGGCAGCCAGCCTCCAGGTTAGAATATCTGCCCAGGACATCTCCCCTGGGCTGTCCGGTAGATATCTCAGGGTTCTGCATGTCTAAAATGGATCTACTGATATGTCCAGATTCCAAAGTGCTTTTCACACCTCTGCTTCCACAGCTCTGGTTTGAGCCACCATCATCTCACCTAGACTGCTGGTCTCCCTGATAATGCCATTGCACCTCTAATGGTTTTCTCAGCAAACGTTAAATCACAACACTCTGTTTAAAAACCTGCACTGGCTCTTTCCCAATGCCCTCATAATGCTTGCAGTGCCCCACATGATCTGCCCTTCACCCTCACCCTTCTCTCTGCCTTTGTCTCTGGCCTTACACACCCCACTCCAAACATGCTGGCCTCCTGAGGCTCCCCAAGCCATCCCAGGCACGGCCTTGCCTCGGGCTTTGCACTGACTGCTCCTTTTTCCAGATGCACTTTTGCAGGCGTCCATGAGCCACCTCCCATACCTTCTCCAAGTCTTTGTTCAAATGTCACCTTCTGAGAAAGAAAGGCCCACACACTCTGACCATCCTGCTGTGGAGTGCCACTGGTACTCCTGAACCCCTTGCTCTTAGCATCTTTTTATTTCTGTAGCACTTACCTACCTTTTGGCATGCTCTGTAATTTGCTTATTTACTTACTGTTTGTCTCCACCTGCTGGAATGTAAATTCCATGGGACAGTAATCTTTGCTCTGTTTATCAGTGTTTTCCATGAGCCTAGAACAGGACCTGACCCAATTAAAGTATTGATTAAAAAGACAATGTAGGCCAGTCACGTGAGGCCTGTAATCTTTGCCAAGGCAGGCAGATCACTTGAGGTTAGGAGTTTGAGACCAGACTGGCCAACGTGGTGAAACCTCGTCTCCACTAAAAATACAAAAATTAGCTGGGTGTGATGGCGCACACCTGTAGTCCAAGCTACTCAGGAGGCTAAAAGAGGAGAATAGAATCGCTTGAACCTGGGAGGCAGAGGTTGCAGTGAGCTGAGATCGTGCCACTGCACTCCAGCCTGGGTGACAGAGCGAGACTGTGTCTCAAAAAAAAGACAATGTAGACTGTCAGAAGAGTTGGCAGTGTCCTGATAGCAGAGAGGCCCAGAGATGAAGGCTTTCCACCAAGTGACGATCCTGGGGGGGTTGGAAGGCAATCCTATTGAATTGCCTGTTGTCAGGGCACCCATTGGAGGAGTCTGCACCCTTGTACCCCTTAGGGAGGAGGCAGTGAGCCTTGAGATAAGGGCAGTTCAGTCATCCTAGCATCTTAGAGTCCCTCTCTCCAGCCAGCCCAGGAGGGCTGTGTTGGTGTCAGCAGTTGGGTGCACTGAGGTGCCATTCATGAAGCTGACCCCATCCTACAAACGCAGAGCTCAGCCAGCAAGAGAGTACCTTGATGACACTGGCAGAGAGCCTTATGTCTACATGTAGCACTCTGGAAAAATACCCTGTAGCTAGCCCCTTTTACAAGTTAATGAGTAAAAATGCAGTTATAGCAGTTATCTATTTTTTTACTTGTTAAGCTTATTCTTCCTTTTAACCGCAAGTCAGCTGTTCTCTTTGCCATCACTGTAGCTTTTCAAATCATTCCACACCTGGTTTATACATGAGAGAGCATTGAAATCCTCTGCAACTATTAAGGCCACTGGGAGTTATTTTCTCTTAATATTTTTAAGAAAGTTGTTGGCTTGGGTTTGATCATTTCAAATGTGTTTTATTTTACTTAAAAATATGTATTTGTAAAAATATTGAATATACACTAATAATTACACACATTTCTTCTGTTTGCCTCTTCCTTATGAAAAGTTGATTGTTACTTTAATAATTAACTTTTTCACCTTCTTAGATTTTACCAGTAAATATCTGCTAACTTGAATAAACAGCATGACTAATATTTGTTATAATTATCTTAGAATTATTTTTCTTATTTGGGATAAGCCACTGTGGGCCATTCTGATGAAGGCCAAGTGGAAGGTCAGGGCTCTCTCTGAATACCACATGGGAACGATACAGTCTAGAGGCCTGGTTAGGAAGCCTGGCTTACCGAAGTTGTCTCACTCATTACCTCCTGAGCCGGCACATTGTTGTGACAAAGCATCAGAAGGGAGCCCGGAGGTGGCATGTGGGAGCTGTTTTCACTGCCTGGCCTGAGGTGTGGGCAACGGTGGGAGCTGATTCTGGGGGCTGGGATAATAACTCAGTACTTTCCTTTCTCACAGTTGTTTCCTCTCTTTGCTCCTGGTGGCTGCTGTGGTTTGGAAGATCAAACAAAGTTGTTGGGCCTCCAGACGTAGAGAGGTAAGCTTCAGTGGGTAAAGATTAAAGAATCCCTGGAAGAGCTTTTTTTCCTTCTTTTTCTCTTAAGCAAGTGGGTTTTAGCTATTTAGTGATAATGGACAGACAGACATCTCCACGGAAGGAATAATGCAGCCCTTTCTGCAGTCCATGGTTCTGCAGCATATGGTCAGTAGACTTAGATGAGTGCTACATAAAGTGTAATTAGTTCTGCACCACAGTGTCTTACCTTCCGAAAAGGAAACTCTGGTATTGACTTGGAAATGCCAGTTTTATCCTTCAGACCAGAACCCAAGTCCTGACTGAGGCCAGAGATCCAAGGGCGTATTAGCACAGCCACCGCGTGATTAGGCACCGCCTTCATGAGAACTTGTCATGCGAGAGGGAAATCAGCCATTTAAGCATCTCAAAAATTTTTCATTATTCAAGGAAAGATAAATGTGTGTGTAGTTAAGTTTTTAACTTGAGTTTTATTTTTAAATAAGTCTTGATTTGTTTCCAGAGCTTCATTCCAAAAGTAATAAGCAAATATTTACAGCTGACAAATTTAAATAAATAAACTTGGTTGCAAATTACAACATATCAAATGCCCATCAATCAATGAGTGGATAAAGAAAATGTGGGGTGTGTATGTGCGTGTGTATGTATATATATATATTTATATACATTTGCAGCAACCTGGATGGAATTGGAGACCGTTATTCTAAGTGAAATAATTCAGGAATGGAAAACCACACTTCATATATTCTCACTTACAAGTGGGAACTAAGCCCTGAGGATGCAAAGGCATAAGAATGATACAGTGGATTTTGAGGACTCGGGGGAAAGAGTGGGAGGGGGATGAGGGATAAAATACTATACATCGGGTACAGTGTACACTGCTCGGGTGATAGGTGCACCAGAATCTCAGAAATCACCATGAAAGAACTTATTCATGTAACCAAACACCACCTGTTCCCCCAAAAACCTATTGAAATAATAAATAAATAAATAAATAAATAAATAAATATTTTAAAAATAACCACCATTAAAATAATTACAACATAAAAACTTTGTGTATTGCAACTTTCACTTGCATCATTACTTTGCCTTTCATTTAGTCATGCCTGTGGCATTGTTGGCATTGTTGCTAATGGAAATGCTCACGTGTATATAAGATCTAGACAAAGAAGCTGTCTGGGGTTTTTTTGGATCTACTCATGCCTTTTTCTATATAAAAATGTATTTATAGATAAGATTTAGAACAGAAGGGAAGTATGTAAAATCACAACTCACAAGCACTCAGCACTGTTGATAGGATATTCATGTCTGAATAGGGTTAAGACAGGCTCCAGGATATGGGCCTCTTGTTGTGGGCCACAGTACCACCTTTTCTGACCCACATAAAGATGATGTTATCATAGAGGGAATGTTGCACACTCTTTATTATTATTTTTTAAATAAGTGGATAACATATTCAAAGGGTTTTTTAGATAACTGTATTACTGATATACTTTAAAAGCCTAATGAATTACGTGATGTTCTGAAAAAAATTATATTTTCAATTTAATTTAAATGTATATTTATTCACAATGGAGTAAGAAAGAAGTAAGAAGCCACAGTAAACCAGTTATCAAGAAAGGAGTTGAAAACTTTTGAGTGCTACTCTCTCCAAGAAGGACATTAGACCCAGGGAGTTTCAAGGTTGAGATGAGCTTATGGAGATTATGATAGCCTGTTCCTCCCTGAGTGCTTATGAGAATTAATTGTTTCTAAAATCTGTAAAGCAAAGGAACAGATGGAAAGCTTGAAAGAGTCCGAATTGATTTTATACACAGAAATCTTGGTACCAAAACCTGACAAAGGTAGCACCAAAATACAAAGGGCAGCTGCATAGTGAATGTATGTGCAGCAGTCTAATTGCAGTGTAATGAAAGAGTCACTTAATACCAGAAAACCTATTAGAATATATCATGTCAAAAAAAGAATATATCATGTCAATGGGGAAAAAATAACACCTGAATTCTTCCTAGTGGCCCAGAAATCATTTCGTCATTTATTGAAACTCAATATCCATTCCTAATTTGAAAACAAAACTCACAGTAAAATCAAAAATACCTTTTTAACGCTATGAAGAATATCTGGATAACCAGCATCACTCATGATAAAACAAACAAACACCAGAGGTTGTATCCAGGCTAGTTAGTTTTAACAAGAGCTGACATCTGAGCATTTAAAAATTCCAGGCACTGAGTTCTAAGTGGTTTTACGTAGATTAACTAATCCTTATCTCAAACCTATGAAATAGGTATTGTCCCTCGTTATGTTTTATGGATGAGGGGACTGAGGCTCAGAAAGGTGAAGTGACTTACACCACATAGTTAACTAAGAGGCAGACGAGGCTTTAACTAGGGACTTCTGTCTTCACAGCCCAAGTTCGTTATCTTCGTGTAATCCTACAGTCATTCAGCTTTGTGCTAGATGTTCTAGACTGTGCACTAAGTGAAAGGGCACTAAGAAGTGTTGTTACTATTGGAAAGGAAACAAAATTATTATTTTCATATAAAGTTATTAAAACAATGTAGTAGAGATTTGCCTGCATAAAAATGAAGGCTTAAGTATATCAAAAAATAAATGAATAACACAGAAGCTAAACAATCAACTGGAAATTGTTTGCAGTGTGCATGAGAGAAAGTAAGATGCACAGCCTACAGGAAAAAGATTAAAATATATATATGTGTTTAGTATGGAGTTGGTCATCTAATAAACTATGCTTTTACCCGTGTGATTTGGAATTTCTCTGTAACTGTGAAGCTGACCATTCAGAATATATTTCATCATTTTTAAAATGTCAGCCATTATTTATTCCCTCTCAGAATTGTAGAAGCAATGATTTGATGTTATTTTTAAAAACAATAGTAGTAGCGGCTGACGCTGTTTAGTCCTTGCTACACACCAGCCCCGGTTTTAAGTGCTTTTACACATGTTGCCTCCTGAACCCTGTCTTATTGTGACCCCAGCACTTAAGCACAGACCCCAAGGAGCATTGCTGCATATATTAGTCGAGTAAATGGACCTACAGCTTTAAAAAATGTAAGAATGTTGGTATTTTAAGAAAATATTTATAAAAATGCCCTTCTAGAACAGAGCCATATCTATCCAGGCCAAGATTCTGTCTTCTACAGTAGTTCCAAGGAGGCAGTTTGAAGTAAGGCCTACTTGTATCCCAAGGCATAACCTCAAAGCTTCAGCATCATGCCCAGAAAGATCTCTAATATCCTTAATGATATGTGAACGGCCGTTCACCATGTGCTAGGCGCTGTGCTGTAGTATCTCATTTGATCCCAGTGACAACCTTATGGGCTAGGAACACATTTCAGAGGGAGGACACGGATGCCCAGAGACTTCAAACACCTTTCTTAAGGTCACACAGCTGTAGACTATTGGAGCAGGAGTTCACATCAAGCCTCCCTAAATCCCGAGCCCCTGTTTGTCCCTCTACTCTGCAAAATTTCACATTTGTTTGTTTTTAGCTTATACCACCTCTCTGAAGGAAGGGTTCTTTCAGTTCCTATCTGCCGTATAATGAGGCATAGGTTTTTGTTGTCCTGTGAATCCTTGGTGCCAGTTTCAGTAGGAAGAAAGCAAGCCTGACTTTAGTAGTAGAAATACGAGGAGATAGAGCCACACCATTTTATGTATTTGACAAGTCGACGTCATAGCATTAAATCCACAGTACTTTTATTTTTATCTTTATTTTCTTATTTTACTTTAAGTTCTGGGATACATGTACAGAACATGTAGATTTGTTACATAGGTATACATGTGCCGTGGTGGTTTGCCGCACCTATCAGCCTGTTATCTAGGTTTTAAGCCCTGCATGCATTTGGTATTTGTCCTAATGCTCTCCCTCCCCTTGCTCCCCACCCCTGACAGGCCCCAGTGTGTGATGTTCCCTTCCCTGTGTCCATGTGTTCTCATGGTTCAACTCCCACTTAAGAGTGAGGACATGGAGTATTTGGTTTTCTGTTCCTGTGTTGGTTTGCTGAGACTGATGGCTTCCAGCTTCATCCGTGTCCCTGCAAAGGATATGAACTCATTTATTTTATGGCCGCATAGTATTCCATGGTGTATATGTGCCATGTTTTCTTTATCCAGTCTATCATTGATGGGCATTTGGGTTGGTTCTAAGTCTTCGCTACTGTAAATAGTGCTGCAATAAACATCGTACGTTAATATGTATCTCTGACAGGGGCTTTTAAAAAATATAAGGACAATGGTGTTATCACATCCAACAAAATTTAGTAATCCCTAATGTTATCTAATATCAAGTCTAAAAAGTATCATTTTGGACTTGATTTGTTTGAATCAGGGAGGATGAGGTGTTTTTAACATGTAGCATTAACTAATAAAACCCCTTCAGTACTCATTCCATTAATGGCTTTGCCATATTATTTATCAGCAACTTCTTCGAGAGATGCAACAGATGGCCAGCCGTCCCTTTGCCTCTGTAAATGTCGCCTTGGAAACAGATGAGGAGCCTCCTGATCTTATTGGGGGGAGTATAAAGGTGAGAATGTGACTCAGAAGTCCCTATAACTTGACTTTTTAAAACTTAGGCTCCTAAGTCTGGGAAACCAGAGAGAGCAAAAGCCCTATTCCATTACCTCCTTTTTTTCCTCTCTTTCTTTTTAACAATAAGCTAAAACCTGAAGTTGCTGGGTACTCTTTTGCTTTTGTTTTTCAATCTTTGTTTCATGTCGCTGAGCAGTCTTGTGTTCAGGGGATTTTAAAATCTAAATGATTTGTCTGCTTTTCTTTTAAGTATTCTGTGGCATACAAAACTTTTATTTGAAAAGAGCTACATTGAACATCGAATCATTGTTTTTTTGTTTGTTTGTTTGTTTGAGACAGAGTCTTACTGTGTCACACAGGCTGGAGCGCAGTGGCATGATCTCGGCTCACTGCAATCTACCTCCCGGGTTCAAGCGATTCTCTTGCCCCAGCCTCCTGAGTTGCTGGGATTACCGATGTGCGCAACCACGCCCAGCTGATTTTTGTATTTTTAGTGGAGATGGGGTTTCACCATGTTGGCCAGGCTGGTCTCGAACTCCTGACTTCAAGCAATCCACCCACCTCGGCCTCCCAAAGTGCTGGGATTACAGGTGTGAACCACCGCACCCAGCCTATTTTTCTTTATATTTTGGGGAATTTTTTAAGCAGCAAAATGATAATACACTGTGTATTAATACTCTGTGGAAAATATTTATCACCCCCCTCCCCAAAATGATGAAGAAAATGGTAAGACTTTCTCCTTGGGCAAAATGATGGAATATTTAAGATACGCTGGAGAAATAGCTATGTATCTTGAATAAAACATACTTATTTAAAATGTTACTGAGCTCACAGGAAGTAGGTAAAATCTCCAGGGAATACTCTCCTTCCCTACCCTAAAAAGAACAAACCATAAACCAAAACCAGAACCATGATTTGTCCTAAGTGGTTCCAGATGGTAAACACAACACCCACCTGAATAGATGGAAATCCTCTCTATAGAAAAACATCTTCAATTCAGCGCTGTTGAAGTCCCACAGATCAAGATGAAGTAATTAAAGATCACCAGGGACAAGAGGCAAGCCGCCATAAATAAGAGTAGCAGAAACAACAGATGATTGATGTGGACAGGACTCCAAATGTTAGAATTGAAATCTAAAGAATATAATATAACTGTGTATGAAATGTTTAAAGAAATAAAAGATGAAATCATAAAGATGAGAGTCAAGTATGGCCAAGCAGATCTGAAGAAGAACCAAATGGAACTTCTAGAAATGAAAAATATACTTGTTGAAATTTTTTAAATAAATAAACTCAATTTACATGTTAAATAGCATATCAGACATAAGAGAATTTACGAAGTGGAAGATGAATCTGAAAAAAGTACGCAGAATGCAGCTCAGAGAGACAAGGAGATAGAAAGTACAATAGATACTAAGAATATGGAGGATAGAATGAGAAGATCCAACTCATATATATTTCCAGAATCCCAGAACAAAGGAGAGGCAATATTCAGAAATGATAGCTTTCCAGAACTGATGGAAAACATGAATATACAGATTCCAGAAGCAAAACATATTGTAAGCATGATTAAAGAAAGAAAGGGAAGGCAGGAAGGAAAGAAAACAAGTTGGATTTCTCATAATGAAATTGTATAACTCCAAAGACAAAGAGAACATCTTAAAATCAGCCAGAGAAAAAGTATCACATACAACATGGAGAAACTGAACGTTAGTGCACTGTTGATGGAAGTATAAAGTGATGGAGCCACTGTGGAAAACAGTACCACTATTCCCCCCAGAATTAAAAGTAGAATTATATATGATCTGGCAATCTGGGTTTATACATAGAAGAACTGAAAGCAGAGTCTCAAAGACATATTTGAACATCAGTGTTCTTGGCAGCATTATTCACAGTAGCCAAAAAGTGGAAGCAGGCCCAAGTGTCCATGGATGGATAAATGGATAAGCACAACGTGGTCTATGCATCCAATGGAATGTTATCCAGCCTTCCAAAGGAAGCAAATTCTGACCCATGCTACAATGTGATGAACCTTGAAGACATACTAAGTGAAATACTCCAGTAACAAAAAAATAAACATTGTATGATTACACTTTTAAGAGATACACTTGTGGTAGTCAAGCTCATAAAGACAGGAAGTAGAACAGTGGTTCACAGGGGCTGGGAGAAGGGGAAAATGGGGAGTTAGTGTTTAATGGGTACGAAGTTTGAGTTTTACAAGATGAAAAGAGTTCTGGAGATGGATAGTAATGATGGTTGCACAACAATGTGAATATACTTAATACCACTGAACTGTACATTTTTAAATGGTCAAGATGGTAAATGTTATGTGTATTTTATCACAATTTTTGTTAAAAATGGGAAAAGAGGCCGGGTGTGGTGGCTAACACCTGTAATCCGAGCACTTTGGGAGGCCGAGGCGGGCGGATCACTTGAGGTCAGGAGTTCAAGACCAGCCTGGCCAACATGGTGAAACCCCATCTCTACTAAAAATACAGAAATTAGCCAGGCATGATGGCACACATCTGTAATCCCAGCTACTTGGGAGGCTGAGGCATGAGAATCATTTGAACCTAGAAGGCAGAGTTCACAGTGAGCTGAGATTGCACCACTGTACTCCAGCCTGGGCGACAGAACAAGACTCTGTCGCAAAAAAAAAAAAAAAAAAAAAAAAAGGGAAAAGATCACCTGCAAAGGAATGACAAGCTGACCGCTAACTTCTCAGAAGTCAGAAGAGAGTGAGAGAATGTCTTTGAAGTACTGAAAGAAACCTCCCCACCTAGAATAGTGTGCCCAGTAAGCACCTTCCGAGAACAAGGATGAAATAAAGATATCTTCAAATTAGAATAAAAATTGAGAATTTGCCACCAGCAGACCTGCACAAAAGAAATGTCTGAAGGATGTGCTAAAATGAAGGAAAATTACCCCCAGGAGGATAGACTAAAGTGTAAGAAAGAATAGTGAGTAAATAAAAGTATAATCATATATAGAAATCTAAACAAACATTATCCTGGTAAAATAATATTTGTGGGTTAAAAAATAGACAAGCCTAAAGTATTGAACAACATGATATATGTCAGCAGCATATGACACAGTTAGTTGCTCCTTAAAACATTTTCTTGATTTTCTTCCAGGACACCACACACTTGCCTTCTAGCTGTTCTTGCTCAGTGGTCTTTGCTCAATCCTCTTCATCTTTTGACAGTGGTGTGCGTCAGGCCCTGCCTTTGTCCCCTTCTTGTGTCTTTTACACCCACTTCTTCAGTGATCTTCACTATCACAGGTTTAAGTACCATGATCCTCTCACCTGGACTGCTCCCATGAGCCTCCAACACAAACATCAGTTGCCTACTCAGTGTCCCCACTTGGATATCTTAACATGGCCATGGCCAAACTGAGCTTTGGATGTTTATTTCTCAGACTTGCTCCTCTGACATACCTTCCGCCTTTCAGCACATAACACCTCCATCACCCTAGTTGCTCAGGCCAAAATCGTGGAATTGTTCTTGACTCATTCTTGATGTCATGTTCTCATTGGACAGCCAGTCTATCAGCAAATCTTGACTCCGTATTCAAAAATGTTTCCCAGCCACTGTGTCCCATCTCTGCCACTATTCCCACTTGATCTAGGCCACCGCTGTCTCTCACCTGGATTCTTGCAGTTACTTCATAACTGATCTCCCTGCCTCTGCCATTCACCCATCTAGTCAGTTCCTTGTGCCACAGCAGAGTGGTACTGGAAATTATTTTCTTCAGCCAAACTGAAGAAACTGATGACATTTGTGGGTATAGTCAGCAGAATTCTAAAGGTGGCCCTCAAGATTTCCATCCCACGTTTATTCAGTCACACACTACTCTAGGTACTGCTAGAGGGATTTTGCAGATGTAATGAAACAAGGGAGTTGACTTTAAGATACAGAAAGTTTCTCTGGCTGGTGGCAGAAAGAGGAAGCCAGAGAGATTGGAAACATGAGAAGGACTTGACACACCATCCCTGGTTTAGAGATGGAGTGGCCACAGAAGTTTTTTTGTTTTTGTGAGACAGAGTCTGGCTGTGTCACCCACACTGGAGTGCAGTGGCATGATCATGGCTCACTGTAGCCTCAAACTCTTGGGCTCAAGGGATCCTCCCTCCTGGGTCTCCCAAAGTGCTGGGATTACAGGTGTGAGCCACTGCGTAAGCCCTGAATGCATTTCAAAGCAGAGTCTTCCCCAGAGTCTCCAACTAAGAGTCCCATCCAGCTGACAACTTGACTTCAGCCTGAGAGACCTCAGGAGATAGCTGATAATTCCCCAGAACTCATGGAAGACATGAACAGACCTGTCTCTCTCGGCAGAGAACCCTACAGAGCTTGCTGGGACTTCTGACCTCTAAAGCTGTGAGATAATAAGTGGGTGTTGTTTTAAGCAACTAAGTTTGCAGTAGTTTGTTACACTAATATAAGCTGGGTGCGGTAGGTCACACCTTTAATCCCAGCACTTTGGGAGGCTGAGGTGGGAGGATCGCTTGAGCCCAGGAGTTCAAGACCTGCCTGGACAACATAGTGAGACCCCATTTCTATTCTTTAAAAAAAAAAAGGAAAGGAAAGAAAAAGAGAAGAAACTAATATAGGGGACAAATCTCATCTAAAGGCTGCAACAGAAGATGAAAACATATTTTCCAGAGCCAAATGCATCCAGAGAGTAGACAAAGAATCTACTTGGTCAGCCAACCCAGCTTTTACAAGCTTTTACATCCAGCAGGCTTGTCTACTTAGTGTCTAAAGGACAGACAAAATAGAATGTTTTTTAAGTCTCCATGATATCTGCATCTGTGTTTGAGCCAGGTATGCAGAACTATCTGACAAATCTACCAAGCACTCACCACTGCCATTCCTGTGACCTACAGTTATGAATTAGAATTTCAAATCGAGCCAAAGTACAGCATCCAGAAGAAACCCACTTGGCGTGGCCCCTTCCCTACAGTTCAAGCAGCCCTCTGGAAGGGGACTGCGAGACCTCAGTGGAAGGTAGCAAGCAGTACCACCCGTGTCACTGGTGCTCAGAGAGTACTGTTAGCTCTCTCCTGCCCTTTTTCATTATCTTAAAAACTGCAATGTACCTTTTTTATATACCTGAAATTGATGGTTCTTATAAGCACAAATGACCGTTAAGTTGTCCGTATACATTAAAGCTTGAGTATCACTTAAGGTAATTTTGTTTTCTTCTGCCAGACTGTTCCCAAACCCATTGCACTGGAGCCGTGTTTTGGCAACAAAGCCGCTGTCCTCTCTGTGTTTGTGAGGCTCCCTCGAGGCCTGGGTGGCATCCCTCCTCCTGGGCAGTCAGGTGAGTAGATGCGGTCCAGCGAAAGACACCTTCTAAGCATGTGAGGGAGCTAAGCATGGGATACTTCCCTTTCCTAGAGAACAAGGTTATAAAGGTGATAACCAACAGTGCCTGCCCATGCCATGGCAAGGATTCAGTGAGATAACCCATTTTCACCTATATGCCCAAAACTGTTTTCCCGAGGTCATCGTCCCTTCCTGGGGGGACGTCCCGGGACCTCCTCACCGTTCTGGCCTCCCCAGCCTCTCAGTGCTCGTGGATGCCTCTGACCACACCTTCCTTTGCTGTCGGAGTTTCTGGTCCCCCTTTGCCTCTGCTGCTCTTTCCCTGTCTCTTTTGCCCTGTCCTGCCCCTGAATCTGGGTGTGCTCCCTTCACCCTGCATGTTCTTCCTCAGTTGCCTTCTCCACTCCACAACTTCCAGCCATCTCCCCTGGGCTGGTGTTTCTTCAATTGGTATTTCTAGCCCTCCTGCATTTCTTTTGCTTTTTCACTGTTTTAAATATAAGGCACAAACACAACGATAACATAAAGGAAACGTCTGAAAATCCACGCACAGTTCTGCTATCCCACAACCCACCAATTTTCATTGTTCTGTGTTCTTTCCAGCCCTGGCCAGCAATTTAGTTGAAATGATTGTATAGATCTAATTTTTATTCTGCTTTTTTCATATAACTATCTTAAACATTTTTATAGCCTACTACATAATATTTTACCAATGCATGTGACACTTCTCCATCAAATATATGAATCATGATTATATAAACTTCTATTTTGAAGACAGAAAATATGGAATACAGTTTTGAAAGTATCTCGCTTAATTACAGAGTGCTTTGGAGGATGCCTCAATGTGATCATTTTAGACAACTTTCAGTTGAGATGATTCTGGAGTCAGGGTTACCTTAGCCAGAGAGCACCCTGTGTCTGGTGGAAAGGCTGCCCCAGGATACTGGTCCAGGCCCTGAGCTCCACTGTCCCTTCAGTGCACCCTCAGACCCAGAAGATCCTCCAGCCCAGCTTTAGAATGGTTAGGATCTATAGTATCTTCACGAGGGAGGCCTTTCGACATGGCTCGGCCAGGATTCATTGTCTTCATCTCACCTAGGGATTCCTGTGAGTTGAGCCCCTAACTCGGCCTTGCCTGTGTTGAGGACAGGACAACTCTCTCGTCTGTCACTCAAGTGCAGTTTGTGTCTCCTGCCACCGCCCAGCCCAGCAAACAGTGGCTGGTGTGCCCTGAGGGCAGGGTGGCGGCTGGGGCGGCAAGGTGACAGGTGTGCAGCCCTGTAGCCTTTCCTGCTCCAGCCTTTGCCTGACATGCCCCAACCACCTGAAACACCTAATAAAGGTCTGCTCAATGCTTGAGACCCACCCAACAGTGGGGCCGTCCTTGCTGCCCCTTCTGTACCCCCTGTTTTAAGTGGTGCCCTTTTCTAGGCTCCCAGAGCATTCCCCACTGTGTGCCAGGCACTTACAGCTGTCTACCCCCACCCCCACTCCCCTTCACAGGCTCAACAAGGCAAGTAACACGCTCCACTAACACAACTCCTGGCAGGTCTCAGCAGAGCTCCGAGCCTGCGCTGGCCATTTCCCACGTATATTAGGAATCCAGCTCCCCCAGAACCGTGCCTTCCCTAATGGATGTCAGATTACTCCGTTATCAATACAGGAAGGAAAATGGGATTGCAAGTCCCCAAAGCAAAGTGGGCGGCGGGGCAGTGATGAGCATAAAGGGTAGTTGCTATTGATCGTGGGTTGCTGCGCGCCAGATACTAAGACTTTATGCATGCCAGGTACTAAGACTTTGTCAGTTCACTCATTGATTCTTCACACTAGCCCTGTACTACTATTATCCCCATTTTACAAATGAGGAAACTGAGGTGCAGGGAGGTTAAAGAACCTTGCTTATTCCAAAGCCTGGCCCCAGAGCCTGCCCTGCCTGTATCGTGGTATGGAATGGAAGTGACTAATGCTGACTGAGTGATAGGGGTGAATCTGAATCTCGTCATAAAGCGTGCTGCTGTTTCTCGGCTCCTTTTGGAGGAAGGCAGGAGAAATTGGGCACTTAGCACACGTCTACAATCTCATTTATATGTTCCCACCACCAAGCAGAGCACTGTGCTTGGTTGATGTGCTGAAAAGCAAACTGCACCTTTTGTGTAAAAAGTAGGGAAAGGAGAAGAATGTGTATTTGTATTTGCATAAGTATACCCTCAAAGAATACATAAAAATTAGTGAAAGCGTTTACCCAGATGGAGGGGAAGGCGGAGGGAGGGTCAGGGTGGAAGGAAGACTTTTCCCTGTGTATGTGTACCTTTTTGGGGGTTTTTTGTTCTGGTTTTTTGGTTTGTTTGTTTTGCACCATGGGATTGAAAAATAAATGTTTAAATTATTTTTTAAAACAAAATAAAAGCCAGCTGCTCCCAGCATATGTTCTCTCTGTGGTTCTCCCAAGGTCTTGCTGTGGCCAGCGCCCTGGTGGACATTTCTCAGCAGATGCCGATAGTGTACAAGGAGAAGTCAGGAGCCGTGAGAAACCGGAAGCAGCAGCCCCCTGCACAGCCTGGGACCTGCATCTGATGCTGGGGCCAGGGACTCTCCCACGCACGAGCTAGTGAGTGGCACACCAGAGCCATCTGCAGGGAAGGGCGTGGCGGGGAAATGGCTGTGCGGTGCGGGACGGAAGACTGGAAACCCTCAAAGCATCTGACTCACCTGCATGATCACAAGCTTTCTTTGACGGTTTCTCCCATCCGTGTTCCAGCATCTAACCTTTTACTTTTGCATAGGAAATACTTGATTTAATTACAGGTCCAGGGATGAGCTGATGGTTGCTGGAGGAGGCCAGTGTAGAGCCAGTGAGAGAACTAGGAATGACACTCAGGTTCACTGTGGAAAACTGTTCTTGGGACTGTCTCAACTGTGCAAAAAACAAAAGATGGAGTGTTTACAAGTAGACATTCGTCATCAGTTGTTCTTGAACATGGTCTTTTAAAAACTAGTCAGATGAATTGTTTTCATCTGAAGCCTGCTATCTTTTTTAAAAGATGTGCTATTTATTCTTGCACGATTTAGGCAATTATCTCTCTTCCAGGGAGTACCTTTTTTTCTAGTTGAGAATTAATAATGGTCCATCTCTTTTGATCATATCAAGCTAGGATAGAAGGGGGGCTATTTTAAATGTCAAGGTCAGCAGTGTTACTTTGAATGTAAACTGGTATAATAGGTAGTTTTCTATAGTAACTTGATTAATTTAGTCTTAATCCATTTGAAACTCTCTCTTCCTTTCTCTCTGCCTGTCCCTCTCCTTCTCCATCTCACCCTCCCTCTCTCACACATACACACACAAACACATACACACAACACTAAGTGCCTAGACTTTAAATAGATCTAGCAATTGGAAAGTTAGTAAGCCTAAGTTTTTACATAATTGCATTCCTACATTCTTGTAAAATTTAAATAGCTACCATTGGCAATCTGCTTTTTTTCTAAAATCTGATTTGCAGCCAGGAAAGAATTTTCTCACCCAAGGAACATTTGATCTAGCAGCAGGGATGAGAGGAAAGCAGAAATGAATGAACTGTGAAAGCTCCTGTTTTTATTATCAAAAAGGACACTGTCAAGAAGGCGCCCCCTGCCCCCACCCCCGTGTCACCCTAGGCCTGATAAGCGATCAGAGGAAAGGACTCATTCATGTCACGCTTCCTTGAGCAGAAAAGAGCACTGAGAGCACTTGGGACCCCTGGATCAGAGAGCATCTGTGTGTCCTGCAGCCTCCTCTGAACTTGTGGTTCATTCTCAGGCTGGGGTGGACTCAGATGCCAGGAAAGGGACAGCCTCCCATTGTCAGGCAGAAGCTGCCCAAAGCCTGGAGAAGGACTTGTTTGCCCTCTTTCCCCCAGGAGGGGCTCGACCCACCCACCCTCCCTCTCAGACCAAGGTGGTGGCTGTGAGGAGGGCAGCAAATGCTGACAAGGATGAAAAGCACATGGAAAAAAATGGATGAGGAGGGAAAACTCTGCCAAATGGAAAATGACCAAATTTAAGAGGGTGGGACAGTCCCCTGCTCCTCTCCCAGAGGGCACTGCTTGGAAATTGTGTTTTCCCCATTTATGGTGCTCTGTATTCTGGCATTATGCAGCAGCCTCCCAGAAGCTCTCTTCTGCTTCAAAACCTGGGATCTCTGGCATTACCCTATTGGGATGGACCGCTGGACAGCAATGCTCGAGTTTGTGAATTTGGAGAGATACTCAAAAGAGCTAAAACTGCAGCATTTTACCTTTAAATGCAGTGCCTAGAGAGAGAGTATTGTCTCTTCCCCAACACTAACCCCACTCCCATGAAGAATTGCCTGGAAAGATGTTTTCAAGGAATTTGAACCATAAAACACTATCTGATGCACAGAACACCTCTACTTTGAGACTCACCTCTCATAAAGCTTCTTTTTCACATTACTGTTAAAGACCAGACGTTCTAGAAAAGACCCCTCCTCTCATGAGCTCCCCCATCCCTGCTACAGAACACAGCACCCATGGCGCCTGCAGTGGACTGGCCCCTTAATTCCCACAGGCCCCCCCAGCAAGGCCAAAGGGAGGCCCCTGGGTATTGTCCTCCTACAAGGAAGATCCTCTTTGTTTGTTCAAAGGACCAGTTTTCCTAGGCCAAAGAAGTCTCTTCCCCATGTTAGTCCTATGCCTTGAAATATCATGCACCATGACCCACAGCCATCTGGTTATGTCTTATTTTTTTCCTAAAAGATAATGTTTATTTTTAAAAAGGAAGGAAGGAGCAAGTGAAGTTTCATTCTGCTCCAGCGGTGGGGAAGCCGCTGAATCCACCTGCTTCTCCTTTGCAACCGACAGCAAACAGCTTTCTCCGGCCTCAGGGCAGAAAAAGGGAATGGCAGGGAGTAAGAGGCGCTGGGCTCGGAGCCTGTTTCCAAGAAGGAATTGGTTGTCATCTGGCAGTGTTGCGCGTCACAAGAGAGCCTGTATATAAATTAAAATAGTCAAGACAACACTGACCTTGCACTTGTACATAACTATACAGTAGTGTCCAGAATGTTCAGACATTCGGAGTGTACATAAAACAGAAAAAATCTTCATGTATTTTTATTAAATATAACAATGTCTGAGTTTCACCTAAGATGTTTTTGTGCCATATGCTGGATATCCAGGTTCTCGCCAGGCCCCGATACATGAATAACAAACCCAAGAAACGCATCCCCATTGTGTGATGTGTTCAGATGCATCTGGCACCAATTAGGTATTTCTTAAAACAGGACTCATCTGTCAGAGTGCACATGAAAAATCAGGCAGGGAATCGAAACGACAGTGCTGGAGGAGACTCAGGAAGCAGAGGCGTCCCTGCCGCTGCCCTTGGCCCTGCAAGCACATCATGACCCTTTCTGGCAGCCTCTTGGTGCTCTGGGTAGTGAGGGATGACCAGTCTTGTCCTGAGAAATGTTTCTCTTAGTCTTTAAGTTCAAAGACTAACCTGTAGCAATCAGACTTTCCAAAAGGGGGTTCTCCATTTTTTGTAGTTTTGTCTAAATTTTTAATGACCATTTCCTGGAATCAGTTTATTATACTGAAAACTGGGGGTGGGAGTAGGGAGCTAGTTTGTTGATAAATAGTTCCCATTTCCCCATGGAGAATTTGACATACCCTGGACTCCTGTGTGCCTCCTGCCATCCCTGCACACAGCCTGGGGAGAAGCCTGTGCCTCCCCGTGTGGAGAGAAGGCAACCCCAGATCCCCTGAGCTAACCCGGAGGAAAGGCAGTCCTGGACAGAAGACTGTCAGCAGAAGGAAAGTACTGGACTACCCGTGGGTAAGTCCTGCCATTCAAGACTGGAGACACCTGGGAAATAAAAAGAGCAGGGCACTGCTGGTGGGAAGAGGCATTTTACCTTCCAGTGCAAATCCTGCTCCTTTGATTTAATGGGGTGTACTGGGGCCAGGGGCTGATTCACTTCCTTGGGAGATGGTGGTGTTTTCATGAACATCTTTGATCCTTCCATTTCATTTATTCATCCATCCATTCAACAAGTATTTGCTAAACACTAACTTAAGCTAATGCTAGGGTAGTGACTGAGATGTAAAAATAGATTTTAGAATTAAAACAAAATCCAAGTCCTCACACCCCTGTCATCCCAGGAGATCTTTCCTTGTGGTGGTTTCTGTGAGAATTGGCCATCCTGAGGACACAGCCAGGACGGCAGAGGCCTCCTGGCCTCAGGGCATGCCCTGCCTACCTTCTGAAATGTTTACCCCATTGACCAAACTTGGCTCCAGCCATTGCGGTGGTTTCTAGATAGCCAGGCCCACCAAGAGATATTGCCCCTTGATGAGAGTCAAACACCCTGCCTACAAGGAGATGTTTTGAAATGGAGAGGAAAATTGGCACCTCATCTTTTAAAGGCAGTAATGGAATTGATTTTCAGTAACTGAATTTGTGCACAAAACATTCTAAACACTAGTGAAGCCTGTTTCGTTGAACTAATTCTGGCTCTGGAAATGTTTTTGTTTTATAGTTATTTACGATTTCGTTTGTTTGGATTCAAGCTTAGTTTGTTAATATGTATAATTTAGCATCTATTACACTCATGTAAATATGGAGTAAGTATTGTAAACTATTTCATCGCGGGGATTGTGGGTGTTATACATACATTTAGGACTGCAATTTTTTGGTATTTTTTGTATTGTAAAATAACAGCTAATTTAAGCAGGAACAAGAGAACTAAGGGAGGTCTGTGCATTTTAAACACAAATGTGAAGAACTTGTATATAAACAAAAGTAAATACTATAATACAAACTTCCTTCTGAAATAAAAGTAGATCTGGTAAAAATGTGGCTTTTGTTCTGAGTGTTTCATTTTGATTTTGCATTGTTTTGCCTATATTTACATTTTGGTCATTAGAACCTTAAGGGAAAAAAAAAAGCGTTTACCAGTTTTCAGACTGCGTCAGAGGGAGCACTTGACAGTTAACGGAGGTGAGGGTGAAAACCCCTGGCAGGTACCTCAGACAGCCCTCCAGGCAGCTTGTGAGCCACAGACCTTCCACACAGCCTTTGTGTGCCTACAGGGCAGCTGGGCCCGTGGGGGCAGGGACAGATCTGAGCAGTGAGGTATGGACAGCCGTCTCACTGCTCCACTAACCACACCACTGTCTCCAGTGGTGCTGTTATCCCTCCACTTTGCGCTCTCCTCACAGGCTCCTGAATGTCCTCTAGGTTGTCTCCAAACTGCTAAATCTCAGGTGTGCTGACAGGTCTCAGCCGTGGCCAGTGTTTTCCTCGGCCTTGAAGTTTTGAGGAAGTTACTCCCATTGGCAAGGCCTTGTTTGGGGGCCTCCTGTGTGTCCTGCCCCCTTTTATTTGGCTCCTGCCCTCAGAATGGGTCAGAGTCATGTATTTCAGTGCAGAGTGCAGATTCCCAGTGCTAGCAGTTCCTTCCAGAAGGATGAGGTCATTGAAAGAAGGAGGAAACACAAGACGGTCACTCCTGTAGGGGAAGATGGCAGGGTACTAGGGCCAGGGCCTGAGGTGAGGGCAGGAGCCTGGAGGAGGCCTGCCTACCAGAGCTCAGGTCTGGCTTAGGGAGGGAAATGGCTGGACTAGTGGCTGCAAACAAGTTGAGAAGGACCTTGAAACTCTTCCAGGGAGGGTTATGAGAGCCACCAACAGTAACAGGATAGAAACCCTGTGATTTGGTGGTACTGTGGCAGAGACAATGCTGTGTTTACCAAACCTACTGGGCCCACAGCTCATCATTTCCCAGCCTCCCTGCAGTTAGGTTGGGACCAAGCTAAGCCATGGCCAAGGAAAGGTTGGAAGAAGTGATGGGCACCAATTCCAAACGTGGCACACAAATGCTCCCACAGGGGACTCTCCTACGGATCACATGTTAAAGACTGGAGGGACTGTGGGTCCCTGAGTCACCCCTTAGAGGCCGGCCGCCTGATCAGTAAGAGCTGTGCTGGCCTTTGCATCACTGGAAAGCAAACTCACTCTGCTGATCCACTGAGATTTGGGGCTTTGTTACACTAGTTAGCTTTTCTTATTCTCACTAATATACAAATCAGCACTTTGAAGTGCAGTGCACATGTAACCAAACCCTTAAGTACATGGCACTGGCTCAGCGTGTGGCCAGGTGGCGAGCAGTGATAAGACAGGTGCAGCTGGCAGGACAACTGAGGTCCCTGCCAGGCGGAGCAAAACATCTGGTAAGGCCGTTTCACTCGATAACTCGGAAAACAAACTCCATGTCTGCTGACTTTTTGACTTGAGGGGAATAAACAACAACAACAACAACAAATATGTGTTGATTGTTACTGGCTGCTTTTGGCGAGGCATCACGAGAAAAAGTTTACTTCAAGAAAGAATTAGCCAGTTTACAAGCAGAAGGGAAAAAGATGGAAAGATGTTAACCAGGGCCTTGCAATTCTGGAAAAGCCAACTGCTTCTAGTCTCCAACCAGTAAGAGGTGCAGGTGAGCAACAAAGGCCCCATGAGACTTAGTTGAACACAGTGACTGGGCCTCATGGTGACCATCCAATGAAGGGTGTGGTCTTCCCACTGGAGCATGGAAACTGCAAAGCCACCAGCTTGAGGGAGGGGCACGTGGTTAAGGAAGCAAAGAAAAAGCTGACATGAGAACTGTTTCCAGGAACAAACCATGAATGTAGTCACTGACCCTGGACCTGCCTGGAAATAAATAAAGATGTAGTAAATTTAAGAAACCATTAGCAAAGCCTTAAAAAAAAAAAAAAAAAAAAAAAAAAACGGTGGCAATTGAGGAAGTCTTAAATCCACCTTCAGGCAGGAAAATGGTTGTGAAAGCTGTGTCCAGCGAGGGCTTTACAAGCTCAGATGTGGGCCCAAGAGCAGAACTGGGCCTGAGCGAGGACTCCCCCCAGCCCAGGACAGGGCCCAGCAGGATTGCAAAAACACCGCAGAGCAGCAATTGCTGCATCTGCACCCGCTCCTTCCTGGGTAGGAGGGCCTAGGAGGGTGTCCTGCCTGTTCTCATCACTACCTGCTGGGTGGGAGGTGGATTAAGCTGTCTTGTTAATTCAGGATTGTGGACTTCAAAGAGCCACCTGAGGGAGGCTGCATCACCTGGAGGTCTGGGCGGGGTGTGACCTCGTATTGTCCCCCTAGGAGAGGGTGCCTGTGACCCATGTAGGAGAGGAAGCACAAAACTGGTTTTGGTGATCAGAATAGCAAACTGGGCCAGATGCTTACCACACATTTCCTCTTCCTGAGTCCACAGCTTCGACTGCATGGCCTGGGCCCGTGGCATCTACCCAGATGCCTTGGGACCAGCCCTCACCAATGATGTGTCATTTCAAGGCCATTCACAGTAACAGTGTCTCCTCCACTGTCTCCATCAACCTTGAAGGCTTATGGTGAAGATGGTAATACAACAGGATTGAAGGAGACTGGGTCCCTGAATGACTTTGTGGAACAGAGCACTATAGGCCAAAGGTAGTAGAATTAGGTATCTTGTTTTATGCTGCTTAAGTGAATTAATTAATTCTCTAGATTTATTCACCTAGTTATTCAACAAATTTTTATTGAGCACATCAGGGCTAGGGCATTGTGTCAGGATCAGAGATTTTGCAATGAACAAAACAGAAAACTCCATGTCCTCCAGGGGAGTTGATAATAAAATGTCAGATAAGCTCTGTGAAGAAAGGTAAAAGTAGGGTTAGGGGTAGAAAGTGCTGGGGGGATTGCTACTTAACATAGTGTGGCCAGGGGAAGCCATTCTGCTAAGGTGACAGCTGAGCAGAACGATGAGTGGAGGGGGCAGGAAGGAATGTGGAGGTCTGGGAGAAGAGCATTCCAAACAGGGATGGCAGGTGCAGAGGCCCTGAGGGGGCAGCATGCCTGGTAGGCCTGCTGGATATTTCTGAGAATGAAAAAGTCCATTCCCAGTTGTTTGCGTGGAGAACCTAACCCAGTTATAAACACAAAGTACTTGAGAGCTGGTTTAATATACAGCCAGCTTTCCAGCAGTGCAACTACTGTGTACATCAAGGGAAAACTGAACTTCGTTTTCCTTAAAACTTATCATCAGCTGGTCATCATTTTGACAAATTCTGTCAACAACAGCAGTGTCATTCCTGGCATCTGTATGGGTCACGTCTGAACAGACACACGCCCTGCAGCC
Organism: Homo sapiens; assembly: GCF_000001405.40. Classification (NCBI taxonomy): domain Eukaryota; kingdom Metazoa; phylum Chordata; class Mammalia; order Primates; family Hominidae; genus Homo; species Homo sapiens. Next base: position 3,654,448 of record NC_000020.11, read on the forward strand.
CTGCAGGTACCAGCTGTATAACAAGAACTCCCTTCCACCCTGTGTCCTGGAAACAAGAAAGCCATAGACCGGAAGATCCCGATGGCTATCTCAAATGTGCTGGATGGAGTTGCCAGGGCCCACTGGCATGCCCTGTAAGCCTTTCCTTCCACGTTTGGTTCCTGCCCCTTGAAGACTCCATTTCTGAGTTTGTGTGTGTTTTACTTTCTAGTGTGTGTCCTCATCTTAATTTTTCTCTCTCTCTTCTGCCTTGAACTGAAGGTTCGCTTGGGTGTGGAGAGACAGGCCCCCAGCAGAGCAGCTTCCCGAGACATCCTCCGATCCAGGGCTTCCCAGCAGCCCGGCAAGGCAGGGCTGTGCCTTTCTGCTTCAGCTCACAAGCATGCCAGGCTCACTGGCAAGCTGCTGTCTGGTTGAGAGACTGCTCCTAAAGCCCTGCACAGCCCCTGTCCTCCTGGCCCTCTGGAAATTCCACCAACCCGTGTCCACATTTCATGCAAAAATGAGCTGGTTCTGTGAGCATGGCCCGGCCTGACTCGCTTAGTGGGCGGTAAGTGGTTTCCACTTCAACCTTGCACCTAATCACCGGGCTCCACACCAGGATGGACATTCATGAGCCGTGAAGTTTCCAGTAATAAATCCACAGATGCTTCCAGCACCTGCCTTTTCGCATCACCTCCACTCCCAGCCACCTGCCAGGCAACAGGTAACAGAGACCCAGTCACAGGAGGGCAGTGTGGGGGCAGGACTGCAGTCTCCCAAAGCCCATGCACAAAACCGACAGCGCCCTGGCAGGACAAGGAGGCTGACATTCAGATGTGGAGGAACAACGCATGACCCATTCCTGGTCATGGGGGCCACAGCTGGACTCAGCCTTGAGGCTTGGCCAGACTTAACACCGTGTATAAACCAGGACCTTTTTAGGTAGAGTAATGGAAACCAAACTCTAATGATCTTAGACAGTGCTATTAGTCTCCTGGAGCTGCCAGAACAAATTACCGCAACTTCAGTGTCTTGAAACAAGAGAAACTGATTCTCACAGTTCTGGAGACCAGAAGTCTGAAATGCAGGTGTTGCCAGGGCTGTAGTCTCTGGAGACTCTAGGGGAATCTGTGCCTACCTCCTCCAGCTTCCAGTGGCTCCTGACATTCCTTGGCTTGTGGCTGCATCACCCCAATCCCTATCTCTGTCTTCCCCTGGTCTTTTGCTCAAAATGTCTGTGTTTAGTTTCCCTGTAGACACCTCTGCATCACTCTCATGAGATGCAGAGGTGCGACATACAGGTGTTGAGAGCCCACTTAGATAATCCAGGATAAGCTCCTCTCAAGATCTGTAACTTGGCTGGGTGCAGTGTCTCACGCCTGTAATCCCAGCACTTTGGGAGGCCAAGGCGGGAGGTTCACTTGAGGTCAGGAGTTGGAGAACAGCCTGGGCACCATGGGGAGACCCTGTCTCTACTAAAAATAGCCAGGCGTGGTGGCACACACCTGTGGTCCCAGCTACTCAGGAGGCTGAGGTAGGAGGATTGCTTGAGCCTGGGAGTTTGAGGCTGCAGTGGGCTATGACTGCACCACTGAATTCCAGCTTGGGTGACAGAGTGAGACTGTCAAAAAAAAAAAAAAAAACATAAAACATAACTTAAATCACATCTCTTGCCACAGAAAGTAATACTCTTTTGCCTACATATAAGGTAATATTTACAGGATCCAGGGGTTAGGATGTGGACATATCTTTGGGACCACTGACAGCCATGAAGCAATCTCATAATTTTCAAATAGGTTCTGTCCTTTTTATCTTTCCAGTCTTTTGGAAAGCATATGCCTATATTTTCAATCCACAATTCTATTTTTATTTGAGGTCATTTCATTTCTGGTTTTTATTTTTTATTGAGACAGGGTCTCACTCTGTCACAGGCTGGAATACACTAGCACAATCATGGCTCACTGCAGCCAACTTCTGGGCTGAAGTGATCCTCCAGCCTCAGCCTCCTGAGTAGCTGGAACTACAGACACACATCACCATGCCTGGCTGATTCATTTTTTAATTTTTTCTAGAGACAGGCTCTATGTTGCCCAGGCTGGTCTCAAACTCCTGGCCCCATGCAAACCTCCCGCTTCGGCCTCCCAATGTGCTGGGATTATAGGAGTAAGCCGCCTTACCCAGCCTCCAGTTTTATTGTGTTTTGTTTTGTTTTGTTTGAGACAGAGTCACGCTCTGTCACCAGGCTGGAGTGCAGTGGCACGATCTCGGCTCACTGCAACCTCTGCCTTGCGGGTTCAAGCGATTCTCCTGCCTCAGCCTCCCGAGTAGCTCGGATTATAGGCATGCACCACCACGCCTGGCTAAATTTTTGTATTTTTAGTAGAGACGGGGTTTCACCATGTTGGTGAACACAAAGTATTTGAGAGCTGGTTTAATATACAGCCAGCTTTCCAGAAATGCAACTACTGTGTTCATCAAGGGAAAACTGAACTTCGTTTTCCTTAAAACTTATCACCAGCTGGTCATCATTTTGACAAATTCTGTCAACAACAGCCATGTCATTCCTGGCATCTGTATTGGTCACATCTGAACGACACACGCCCTGCATGCAGCCCTGCAGGTACTGGCTGTATAACACGCCTGGCAAGAATTCCCTTCCACCCTGTGTCCCGGAAACAAGAAAGTGATTGTGATCCGCTCACCTCAGCCTCCCAAAGTGCTGGGATTACAGGCGTGAGCCACTGCACTCGGCTTCCTCCAGTTTTTTTTTTTTTTCAATGCTTATATTTTACTCTAATTAACTGAGTCAAAAATGGAGAATAGTTGAATACACTTTCATGTAAGGCGAATCATTTAGCCGATACTTAACTCTGCATTTGGGCTACCATGCCGCTGTGGTTAGCGGGGCAAGGTGATGAGCCCTGTCTCAACACACACACCCCGCCTCTCCCCAGCCCACTTACACGTGTCCATTCCCACGCAGGTGTGGGGGCCTTAGAGGATTCCCTCTTCTTCGTAAAGTGAGAATGGGCTAGACTCGGCTTCACTGCCCAACAACTCCTTTTTTTCCTTTGGGAAACTGTCCTTCCCATTCCATATAACCTTCATGGGCTGAGATCACTCACCGAGCTACAGGAAGAGGCCCATTACTATGGCCCCATCAGGGTTCTGCCTGGGACAGTCCATAAATGCTGGAAGAGAGAGGTGCCTTTCCCTACTGAGGCTGCTAAAAGGAGACACTGCAAACTGGGGCTGCTGGTGGCAATCTTACACTCTCAGTGAAAGCCTGCCTGGCTGCAGGGGAAACCAATGCACAGACCAGCAGGGGCAACATCATTTGAACCCCTGGAGACAGCTGTGCCTGAAGCCCACATGGCTCAGGCACATGCTCAAGCCACTCTGATTTGCTTGTTACAGTCAAGAGAGTCCTTGGCCGGGCACAGTGGCTCATGCCTGTAATCCCAGCACTTTGGGAGGCCGAGGCAGGCGGATCACCTGAGGTCAGGAGTTCAAGACCAGCCTGACCAACATGGTGAAACCCCGTTTCTACTAAAAATACAAAAATTAGCCGGGCATGGTGGCATGTCCCTGTAATCCCAGTTGTTAGGGAGGCTGAGGTGGGAGAATCGCTTGAACCTGGGAGGTGGAGGTTGCAGTGAGCCAAGATTGCACCACTGCACTCCAGGCTAGCTAACAAAGCGAGGCTCTGACTCAAAAAAAGGGAGTCCTGACTGAAGCTGAGAGGCTGGTGGACAGCTGTCAGCAAGCAGTGTTTGTGGGTCTGATGTGAGCTGCGAAGTCCACACCTGATTTCAGAGCTGGTGGCTCTTTTTCCAATCAGGACAGCTCCAGGCCTGAGTTTTGGTGTGGTCTGTACCTAACCGCTGTGTCTTAGGTCAGGATCTCTAGAAGCCAAGCCCAAGACAGGAGTTCTCAAATGCCATGATTTACTGAGGGAATGCCTTTGGGGGAACCTGCCAGTGAGGAGAGCTGGAGGAGGCGGGCAGGGGCGGGAGCTGAGCCAGGTGGGGGTCCCTGCTGGAGTCTAGCCTCAGCTTGACCCCACAGGGGCTCTGGAGCAGGAACAGCACACTGCATTGTCCCTTGAGGCAGTCACTGGCTGCAGTTGCCTCTGGGAGCAGAGTAAAAGTGGACAGGCATTTCTGGGAGTACAATTCCCTAGAGAAGGGGACAGCTCTGAGCTGTGTTACCAGCCACCATTTCCAGGGGCTGGGGGATGCGCTGCACTGGCCCAGAGAGGTCTCTGAGCAAGGCCCCCACAACCTCCACTTCAACCTCCTGCCAAACCTCAAGCAGATTGAGAAGGAGCCGCTAGAGACACAGGAACCCTTTCCTCATCAGAAGTCTCCAAGCTTTGGAGGAAGAAGGAGGCAGGCAGGAGGCGGGAGGATCGTTTCACCCCAGGGGTTCAGGGCTGCAGTGGACTATGATCATGCCACTGCACTACTGCCTGGTGACAGAGTGAGACCCTGTCTCAAAAACAAACAGACAAAAAAAATCAATGCTCTTAGCATCTGCTGGGTCCACATTGGGCAGTGTGTGTGACGTGGTCCAGCTGCAAGGGAGGCTGGGAAATGCAGTTTCATTATCTGAGTACTAGTGGAGAAAGAAGAGACGAAAGCAATGAGAATCCCTGCCATGAGGAAGTGAGAGCTGATTCATTTCAGCTTCCTTAGGTGAGGTGATGGGGCCCAGACAGGTTCTGAGGCCACTGGAGGTCACACAGGCCAGCAGGGATACACCCAGTGGTAGACCCTGGTCTCCAGGCTCCCAGGACACAGACCACATAAAAGCAAGGTCAGTCTCAGCACACAGATTTAATAAGCACTGTATGTTATTCCTACAGCTGCAGGAAACCAGGGGGAAGATGGCCACAGGGCCAATGCCAGGCAGGGCACAGGGTGGGGCCCCTCAAGCAGCATATGGGGAACAGGAAAGACTCTGCCAGCATGGTCATGGCGCACAGGTGGCTACAATGGTGGGTAATGCCCAGTTGGGAGGATGCAGTGTTAGACGGGGTCTTGTCCGATGGATTCCTTAGGGGGTTATATGCTTGGGAGGCTGATACAATTTCCTAGAATTCTGGGATTCTGGATGGTCTCTGACCTGCTCTAGGGGATCTGGGTCTCCAGAGAGGTCTCAGCTACAAAAGTGACCCTCTCCTGACCCCACCTTGTGGGAGACCCCAGTGGTCTCAAGGTCTGTGAATAAAGGGACTTACAACCAAGATGCCTCCTGACAGGGAGACGGGGGCTTTACAGTCAGGCCCCAGCCTACATCCCTTGCCCCAGGGGACGGCACACAGGGTGTCCAAACCTACAAAGGGCAGCGGAGTGAAAGCACCAGGGCCGGCTTGGGGGGTAAGCCAGCCCCTTCTCAAGGGGCCAGTAGGCCACAGAGGCGGCCCAGGCAGGCAGGGTGGAGTAGCTGGCTGTGCTATCCGAGGTCGCTGTCCTAATCAGAGCAGGGCCGGGAGAGCCAGGACAGGAAGTATGGAGAGCAGGGAGCGTCTCTCCAGGGCCCTGCCTGTGGAGGACACCTTGGGGGTGGGAGCCAAGTGCAGACTTGAGGCAAAAGCCTGTCTCTGCCCTCTGCCTGCACCCCCACCCCAGGCCCTTCATGCCTCCACCCAGGCCCACCAGGGACGGAAGGGTGTGAAGGTGACAGTGGGGGAGGTGCCAGCTCACCCTCCCCTCCCTGCACCTACCTGCAGGAGGCTGTGCTCCGGGTCTCCCTGGGGGTTCAGCTGGTCCAGCAGGACTGGGGGCCACCCGCTGGCAAAGGCCTGAATGGCACCATCTATGGAGGGAGGGGTCCAGGGTGGACTTAGCTGGGAAACCCTAGCACAGGGCTCAGCACAGGGGACAAAGTGAGAGACCCCCTGCTGCAAAGACTGGCTCCTTGGACAGAAGGTGTGTGGTGAGGAATAACAAAATAATAAGCACAGCTGTGACAGAGTGACTCAACTGTACAGTCTTCCATTCTCCCCTCTAAAATGGCTCCCAGCCAGGCGGCTTGGGAGGGGGCAGTAAGCGCCGCCCCCACTCCCCCTCCACTCCCCCCCGGGCCCCTCACCCAAGCAGCGGTTCCTGGTAAAGAGCCCCCGGAAGGCTTCGCAGTCCTCACGCCGGTTCCCGCTGGCTCCGCAGTCGCACCAGGGCGCCACGCGCGCGCTCACGTTGTCCACGTAGTTAGGGGTGACGGCGGTGCCTGCGGGGACCCTGAGGGCGAAGTCATCGGCCCACCCGGGCGGAGATATCCCCTGGAGAACCCCCGCCCTCGCCCGGATCCCGGCCGCGCGTACCCACGAGGCCCGCGTAGGCGCGCAGGCAGCGGGCGCCCTGGTCCAGCAGGCAGCCGTCGGGGGCGCTGGGCGCTGGGGTGCACGAGACCTGAAAGGCCAGGAGGCGAGGCCTGCGCGGCGGGAGGGCGGTGAGCCGGAGAGAGGCCCCGTCCCCACCCTCGCCACGGCCCCGCCGCCGCCCGCGCGCACCTGCAGACCCGGCTGCGCTCGCAGAAGTTTAAGGGCTCAAGGCAGGAGGGCGGCGCGGGGCCGGGCCCCGAAAAGGCGCAGGAGGGCACGAAGGTCTGGCGCCGACGCTCGGCGCACGCGGGGCCCGCGCACGGGCAGAAGAGCAGTGCGTGGGTGAGCGCGGGCGGCCCGCGGGCGAAGAAGCGGCGCAGGGCCCGGCGGCAGCGGGCGCGGGGACAGCCCCCCTGCGCAGCCCGGCCCAGGCACTGCGCCACATACTCGGAGCGCAAACGCTGGCACCGCGCGTCCGCCGTGCAGGCTTCGGCCGCGTCCACACATCGGTTCCCTCCGACCGAGCTCGCCGACCCTGGGAAAGGCGCGGGGAGGCTGCAGGTCTCAGTGCGCCCCGCATGCACACTTCACCCAGCCCATCCACGCCCCTGGAAGGTGGGGGACACTGAAAACCCGAGAAAGCATAGAGTGTGGCCCAAAGGCGGGGCCGACTGGCACTGATCGGCTCTCCGTCGTGGGGATGGGCAGCGGCGGGCTCTGGAGGGCTCTGCAACACGTCAGGGATGGAGAGGGAGCATGGAGGCTGAGCCAGGCCTTCCCCAAAAGCTGAAGCCCCTCCTTCCCAAGCATCGCCACCATTTCTCCAGAACGGCCACACACGTCCAAAGACGGGTCCAGGGGCTCCTCCTACACTCAATGGCACTACCTGACGGGGGAACAATGAGGCTTTCTGGGGATCTGGCCAATGGAGACTTTAAAACCAGAGATGGCATAGAAGACAGTGGCTGCTCCTAGTCTCTTAATGACAGGCTGTGACGCCATACCTTTCCTCCTCTACCCCCTCCACCTCGCCGCTTATCCTCCACCATGGAGACCCTTTGGGTGGGTCTATTGATTTCTGTTTCTCCCTCCTTCCTGACCTCCTGCTCCTCCTCCTGCCCCCTGCATGGGTGTCTCCCCTCTCCAGCCCTTCCTGATGCTCCCTTGAGTCGAGGTCATCCTGCCCCATCTGCACTGGCTTCCTCCAGCCCCTCCACCCTTCATCAGCCAGGGGAGAGCGGATTCATGCAAGAGCTCTGGCCACTGAAGAACCCACTGAGTCCTGGCTGCCAGGGTGTGGATTCAGAGAAGTCCCTGACGACACACCGCCGGGCTTTGTCCTGAGCCACAGGACCCAAGGGTTCATCAGTGGTTTTAGTGACCAGGCCCCATGATAGGTGACACCCTGCTGGAGACAGAGAAGGTGCCTGGCACCCCAGTCACACACCAGGGGTTGGGTAGACAGAGGGTGAGCTCTGCCCACATGCCCACAGGCTGTGTCTAAATAGAGCCAGGATAACTGGAAGTTGGGACTTGGCAGCCCCTTCCCAGGATTTGAGTCACAAAAACCAGGCTAATCGAATCCCCCCCAGCCTCCACAAGTTCTCCAGTCTGGAGCATCTCATTCAGACTAGAAGCCTTTCTGGTGCCCAGCCTGAGTGGACGTGCACAGCCTGGCCCCTCATCCATCTCCCTGTGTGTTTGTGCACAGGGGCTACGGGGTGGTATCCCCCCCCCAGGGCTGGGAGCAGGGTGCCTCTCTGGCAATGGCTGTGTCTTTCAGGCTGTGGATTGGACCGCGTGGTGAGAGTGATTCCTGCTGTGACTTCAGCACCTGCCTCTGCAGGAAGGATGAACATAGCTCGAGGGCTTAGAATGGTCCCTGAGTGGAGGGGATAGATGGCAGCGGGGTGAGTCCTCCCTTCCTCCCCTCCCCAAAGGGCACACTTTGCTTTCCTCTCACAGCCTTGCCAGGCACATCCTCAGGTCTCAGCTGCACACACCAGCACCTGATGTTGCCTAAGGGTTTGAACCCACCTCTGCCTGTTGCTTACCTGTCACCCTTGCCCAGAACACCCTTACCCAGTCTCCACCCTCACAGCAGCTCATCTCAGCTGCAAGATCTCCTCCACCTTAAACCTTTACCAGATTCCACTTTCCACACTACACTCGGTAAAGTGACCCCTCCCTCCGCGACATCCATGCAGGGACGGAGCAGTCCAAGAAGGTGGAACAACAGATGAACAACACCGAAGATTCACCAAGGAATCTGTGTGATGGGTAGGAGGGCTGGGGCTGAGGGGAGGGTGAGAGAGTTGGGAGATGGCAGACAATAGGCAAAAGTTCCTGGGGCACGGGTGCCAAGGCTGGACTCGGGAGGGGGATGGCGGTGGTGGCTTGACGGGGCTGGGAGGTGAGGTGCTCAGCACATAGTGGGGTCAATTGCCAGGGGTCCCCAAGCCGTGCGCACAGGCCTCTCACTGGCAACCCTTCCTGTGGTTCAGCTTTTCCTGGAATATCTTGCCCTCCCACCTTGTCACTGAGGAGCAGGGACAGAGAGGCCAGGGTTCGGGGTCCAGGGGAAGAGAGGGGCGCTCACCCAGTAACAGCAGCAGCAGCAGCGCAGGCCCCAGGCAGCGGACCATGCTGGACCTTCAACAGAGAAGGATGGCTGGCAGAGCCCTAGTCTGATAGGCGCCCCCTTCCTAGTGCCTCTGGAGCAGGAGCACAGTGAAAACCCAGCTGTCTGCGCTGATACCCCTGGGAGGAGCCTTTGCTGCAGCAACTCCCCGCCCTCATTAAGTCTCCACCCCAGGCTGCACCGTCAGGTAAACCTGGGAGCCACGGGATTCGGCGCCTGAATGTGCCTAGACGGACCCCAACACACTAGCCCTGCCACGCACACCCAGCAACACACAGACAACCACCCAGGGAGACCTGGTCTCTCCCATGCTAAACTAGGAACGCTATGAAACAGCATTTTTCTTTTCCTTTTTTATATAATTCTATTTTAAACTTAAAAAAATTTTTTTGAATAGAGTTGGGGTCTCGCTCTATTGCGCAGGCTGGTCTTGAACTCCTGGGCTCAAACCATCCTCCCACCTCGGCCTCTCAAAGTGCTAGGATGACAGGTGTGAGCCACCATGCCTGGCCTATTTTAAACTTCTTATTGTTGACTAATTTTAGACTTGCAGAAAAGTTGGAAAATGTAAGCATTTTCCTTACACCCTTCACCCAGCTTCCCCTGATGGTCCATCTTACTTAATCATAGTCCAATCATTACAGCTAGGAAACTAACCTTGGTACAATCCTGTTAACGAAACTGTAGACTGTTTTGCATTTCTCATTTTTCCACTAATGTCCTTTTTCTGTTCCAAGATCCATTCTAGGATCCCACATCACAGTTGTCTCCTTATTCTCCTCAATCTGGGAGTTCCTTCATCTTTCCTTATCTTTACCCTTGACACTTTTGAAGAATCCTGGCCAGTTATTTTGCAGAATGTTTCTCTTGAGTTGTCTGATGTTTTATTCTGATCAGAATGAGACACAGCATTGTTTTGACTAACCAAAAAGTTATTCTATAAGTAAATATTGAGGTTAAAAATCTCATCCAACCTGGGCAACAGAGTAAGGCCCTGTCTCAAATAAAGTCTCAACACTAAGATTTAAAAAGTGACCAGAAAAGCCCCCACTATGATTTGTCTTGACTTTTTTTTAAAAAACAAACAAACAAACAAACAAACAAACAAAAACGATGTCTTGCTCTCTCTCTCCCTCAGGCTGGAGTGCAGTGGCACGATCTTGGCTCACTGCAACCTCCGCCTCCCAGGTTCAAGCGATTCTTCTGCCTCAGCCTCCCAGGTAGCTGGGATTACAGACGCCCGCCACCATGCCCGGCTAATTTTTGTATTTTTAGTAGAGACAAGGTTTCACCATGTTGGCCAGGCTGGTCTCGAACTTCTAACCTCAAGTGACCCGCCCACCTCTGCCTCCCAAAGTGCTGGAATTACAGACGTGAGCAACTGCGCTTGGCCTCATTAGCATCTTAAATCTCCACACAGGGGTGTGTTCCTTACTATTATAAGGAGCAAAGGATCAGTTTGAGGACAGGTAAAATAAAAATGCGCTTGCTGCCTAGAGGGAGAAGTCCCTGCTGAAGATAGCTTTGCTTGAATGAGCTCAATTGCAATGCCAGTGCTGAGGCTTGTTGACTGTACGGTCACCACAGTTGCTGCTGCGCGCCTAGAACATGGTCACTTTCTTGACTACCTATCCTGTCTCAGTACATCTGTCTGTGGTTTGTGGTGGTCCATTTCCTAATTTTTTTAATGAATCAGAAGACTGTGATGTGCTTTCCGCTGTGCTAACCATGGCCGCTGAAGCAAAATGTAAACCAAGATGCCCCTGCAGTGGTTGTGCTTCACTCTACGACATCTGTTACCGGAAAGGGGTCCAGATTCAGACCCCAGGAGAGGGTTCTTGGATCTCGTGCAAGAAAGAATTTGAGACGAGTCCATAAAGTGAAAGCACATTTATTAGGAAAGTAAAAGAATAAAAGAATGGCTACTCCATAGAGAGCGCAGCCCTGAGGGCTGCTGGTTGCCCATTTTTATGGTTGTTTCTGGATGATCTGCTAAACAGGGGTGGATTGTTCATGTCTCCCCTTTTTAGACCATATATGGTAACTTCCTGATACTGCCATGGCATCTGTAACCTGTCATGGCGCTGGTGGGAGTGTAGCAGTGGGGACGACCAGAGGTCACTCTCATCACCATCTTGGTTTGGGTGGGTTTTAGCCAGCTTCTATATTGCAAGCTGATTTTTTTGTTTGTTTTGTTTTTTGAGACGGAGTCTCGCTCCAGGCTGGAGTGCAGTGACACGATCTCAGCTCACTGCAACCTCCACCTCCTGGGTTCAAGCGATTCTCCTGCCTCAGCCTCCCAAGTAGCTGGGATTACAGGCACACACCACCATGCCTGGCTAGTTTTTGTATTTTTAGTAGAGATGAGGTTTCACCTTGTTGGCCAGGCTGGTCTCGAACTTCTGACCTCAGGTGATCCGCCCACCTCAGCCTCCCAAAGTGCTGGGATTACAGGCGTGAGCTACCGCGCCTGGCCTACTGCAAACTATTTTATCAGCAAGGTCTTTATGACCTGTATCTCCTATCTCATCCTGTGACGCAGAATGCTGTAACTGTCTGGAAACGCAGCCCAGTAGGTCTCAGCCTTATTTTGCTCAGCCCCTATTCAGGATGGAGTTGCTCTGGTTCACAGGCCTCTGACACATCCTCTTGTGTTTTGGCGTGTGGGAGGAAAGAGGGGTGAGGGAAGGAAACTCAAAACCAAGCTCTGACCACACAGGGCAGGTACACTCTCCCACCTGTCTGTGGGTGCCACAAGTCAAGGGAGGGGCAGAGAGAGAAGAAGGTGTGACAGATGGCCGCAGGCCACAGAATGTCAGAGGAAGCCCAGTTCCTCCCGGGGCAGCCCAAGTAGCTGGTAGTTGGGTGGCCAAACAGAGGGCGTCACAGCTGAGCTGGGCTCGCTCGCTACCCCCAGCTCAGCGTCCACTCTGCCCCTCAGTACCTCCTGCTCAGCCTCAGGGTCCATGCCTACCCTCCTGCTTCCCAGTCACTTCTGCGTGCCTCCTGCTTTTCTGCTGTTGGCCCCATGCCAGCTCCTTTCTGCTGAGCTTCTCTTCTCCAGTTCTGCAGCACAGCCAGGTGATCCTGGGCTCCAGACAGGCCTCTCCCCCAGTCTGGGGCCTCCCCTCTTAGAGCCCTCTTTCCTTCCCACGTGGCCTCCCCAGGGTTCGCCACTGAATGGAGAAGGGGTGGAGGGGGTGCTGGGCAGTCTTGGGGAATAGCCAAGAGGGCAGAGTTGGCCTCCCCAGGGTCCCTTGTAGCTGGAGTCCCGCGGGGTCTAGACACCCCCTCCTGAAGGGTAAGAGCGGGGGAGGTATATTAACGTGTATTTTTAGAGTCTCTCTTTTTTTTTTTTTTTTTTTTTGAGACGGAGTCTTGCTCTTGTTGCCCAGGCTGGAGTGCAGTGGCACGATCTCAGCTCACTGCAACCTCCACCTCCCATGTTCAAACAATTCTCCTGCCGCAGCCTCCCGAGTAGCTGGGATTATAGGCACGTGCCACCACACCGGGCTAATTTTTGTATTTTTAGTAGAGATGGGGTTTCACCACATTGGCCAGGCTGGTCTCGAACTTCTGACCTCAAATGATCCTCCCGCCTTGGCCTCCCAAAGTGCTGGGATTACAGGCGTGAGCCACCATGCCTGGCCTTAGATTCTCTATTTTATGATGGTTTAACATCTCGGGGTGGGGGCTTGTTGGCTGGAGAGAAACTGCTTGATTCCTGGAGATCAGAAACAACTCATGCCTTTCATATGCAAACCGACCAGTCTTGAGTCCATACACCAACCACCCCCTTCAAGGAACTCTCACATACGAAACCAGTATTTCCCCTGCCCTAAACCAGCTCAGGGCCAGGCACCTACCCAGACAATTAGAGCCCAACCCCACGCCCCAAACCCCACCAGAATGATTCAAAATGCCAATCCTACCCTCTTCCCCTGGCCTGCCTTGCCTCCCCAGTGGAAACGGCACTGTGGGCTGTGGCCTGTGCCTTCCACTCGCTCCTGATTCTGTCCCTGGACCAAACCTAGTGCCTCCCCACTGTGGCCCTGCATGGTGGGAAACTGTGAGTAATAACTTATTTCAACAGCATTGGCCTCTGTGTCATCAGTCACCTTCATAAATTAAAATTTTGCAACTACAACTGAGGCAGGAGGGGGCTTTAGAGAGCACTCTCACCTGGCCCCTTGGGCTTGTGGAGTGGAGCCCGAGGTGAAGTTGCCTCCCTGCACTCAGTTTTGGGATGGTTTTGTTATGCGGCAACAGCTGGCTGATATAGGCCACTCAGCAGCTCTTGCATGAAGCAATGGGAGAATGTGAACGCCCAAGGGAAGCAGGAGTGACAGAGCAAAGAGGGTGTTCAAACTAGGCAACACCGTCCTGTGCCCAGACACATGCCTGGGGCTCTGGCTGCCACCTAGGCTCGGCCTGCCAGCCACCACCCCGTCAGCCACCACCCCATCAGCCACCACCCCACCAACCACCACCCCGCCAACCACCACCCCGTGTGGTCCTCAGGGCACCCCATGGGTTGAATTTACATACAGAAAAGACTAACCAAGGTCCAAGTGTAATATGTCTTTTTAAAATTTATTTTAGAGACAGGGTCTTGCTCTGTCACCCAGGCTGGAGTGCAGTGGTGCCACCATAGCTCACTGCAGTGTTGAACTCAGGCTCAAGTGATCCTCCTGCTTCAGCCTCCTGAGCAGCTAGGCCTACAGGTACACACCACCACGCCCAGCTAATTTTAAAATTTTTCTGTAGATGCGGTGTCTTGCTGTGTTGCCCAGGCTGGTGTGGACCTGCTGGCCTCTGGTGATCCTCCTACCCCGGCTTCCCAAAGTGCTGGGATTATAGGCATGAGCCACCACGCCTATAGCCAACATGTCTTTCTTTTGACTTCTACTTTGGTATCTTTTCTTAAATGGTTCCCTCTGTCCCCCCGACACACACAGAATGGGGGAGAGGCTGTCAGATTCTGAGCTCCAGAACCTCAGGTGTAGCACTGGGATTGGGGGTGGGGGCTCAGGAACCACCTAGGGGAGAAGACAGGGTGGGAAGAAACAGGAAGGAAGGTCCCCAAAATTATGTTTGTTTGCAGAGGCCAGCCAGGCTCCAGGGGAGTGTGGACTCAGTCGAACCATAGGGCCCCAGGACCACTAGCTTCTGGCCAGCAGTCATGCCCTCCACAGAGCTGGGTCCGTGGAAATTGCATGTAGGAGACACACCAGACTCCCAGGACAGAGCCCTTTTGGGATGGCCAGCACTACCCAGCCTCCACTGGTGAGGGAGGTCAGGGGCTGTGTGACCTTTGCTTCTGGGACTGATGGTTTATTGAGCTGGAGAGTGTGCCCAGCAGTGTTCTCCAGCCCTCAGGAACTTCTAATGTGGCTCTGGGTTCCTGGAGTGGGTGGGTCGAAGCTCCACTCGGGGAAGAAACTTCCAAGCTGCCTGCAGGTGCTGGAGGTCCGGTGATTCACTGGCTCTGCCCCTGCAGTTCAAGTTCCTGGAGTGGCTGTCAGTGGCCACCTGTCTTTAAATCTGTTCATTTTAGGAGCTACCTCTCACCAGAGGCAGGATCTTGGCATCTGGACTTGATCTGCTGAGAATGAGGAGGATATGTTGTCCCCTAAGGACTGGGGCCCCAGGCTGCAAGCTGTGTGGCAGAGAGCCCATCCTCACTCAGTGAGGACCAGTGATCCAGGAAAAGCCACAGCTTCTCCCTCCCCAGCCCAGGGGCTTCCAGCATCCTGGTCTGCATGATAACCAAGAGGTCATAAACTCATTTCCATAATAACCTGAGCCCAGAAACCTGATTAGGGGGCAGCAAACTGAGGGGTGGGAGAGGTGGGAGGGTGGGCGATGAGAGGGGGAGGCTTTGAATCCAGGTCCCTGCCTACCTTGGGGGTCAGGCGAGACTGCTGGCAGAGGCTTCTCAGGGTGGCTGCTGGGCTCATGAGAGTTCTCAGGGTCTGGGAGAAATGGTGGAGGGTAAATGTTGTGAATATGGTCAGCAGGAGCCCCTGGGGCTGGGGAGGGGCATAGGGGACTCAAGGTGACTGGGTGCTGCCCATCTGGAAGGAGGCAGGAGGCATGAGCCCTTCCCTTCTCCCTTCCCTCTCCACCTCCCCCTGGTGCCTCACTCACCCAGGGGCCAGGGCTGTCCAGTGGCTGTGGGGCCCAACTCCATGGGGTGAACGCCGCCCAGGGGGTGGTCCCTGTGTGGGCCATCTTTGGGGCTGAGCAACGTGATAAGAGTCCAGGAGGTTGGCACAGTGATCCTGAGTGGGTTATTGCCTCCCCGCAGCATGGTGTCCAGCCCAGGGAGTTCTGCGTTTACTGAGTTTCTTGGGGCACCCATCTGCTCCAAGTCACCCTCTCAGCTCCCTTCCTGCTCCCTCTTCAGGGGAGCCTTGGGATCCAGGCTCCAAGTGAGCCTCATGCCCTCGGCTGGCACCTCCTCTCTCTAGTCCTAACATTTCCTCCAGGCTCTGACAGCAGCCTGGCACTCTCCAGATGCTGGCATCGCTCAGCTTCCAAAGAACCTTGGATGTCCGCCCCTTCGGCAGCTATGTCTGCTCTCCTTGCCCCTGGGTGCCCTGCTGCCCTTGATGATTCCAAGCCATCTTTGACTGTCCCCATCCCATCCCCCAAGGCCTTGTCATTTCCTGTGATGTTCCTTCAAAACATTCTCCCCTGCCCTGAGACTCCCGCCTGGGGATGAGAAGCAGCCGCCACCCTCTGCAGCGCCCCCTCCGTGCTGACACGCCAGGCTCTGGCCACCTTGCTCCTCTGCCCACAGACCCTCAATCACAACTCGCTTTGTCAGGGTCCTCTTAGCTGCCACCCGGGGCCCAGGTGGTGCCCTGCCCCTGTCTGTTATGCCCTCTGCCCCCATCTCTGGCCCAAATCATGCCATCTCCCTTGGCTTGCCCGGAGCACTCCCAAGACCAGGCTATGTCAGACATGGCCACAGAGTGCCTGCCCTGCCTAGGGCCCTGGTGCAGGGTGAGTCCTAGGACAGCCATGCTTAGTATTATGTGACTCCCCACTCCGCCACCACCCAGGTCACAGAGAACTGGGTTAAGGCAGGGCCCTGGCACAGGGGCAGCCAGCACCGCAGCTGACCAGTGGTATGGAGTGAAAAGATGTGCTGGGCCCAGCATTTGGGAACTTCAAGGGGGTGACAGAGGTGATTTGTGCAGAGGAAGTGGCAAAGGGCCGAAAACTGGTGAGACAGAGGCTGGACAGGCCTCCGGGGGCAGCATGGTACAGGGACTGCAATCTGAGCCAGGGAAAAACAGGGCGAAGTCAAGGGTGAGGCAGCCAGCTGGTGGGAGAAGCAGGAGAGTGGACAAGAGGAGCTGTACTGGGAGGTAGAGGGCCATGCCTTGCGGTGCTGGTGGTGGGGCAGGGATCCACCCCCTCGCTTGACTGGGAGGCCACTGGAACCTCCTGTTCAAAGCTACTTCTTTCCATGGCCTCTGGGGCTGCTCTCTGCACCTGGGGGCAAGGCTGAGGGCCTGCCCCAGCTCCCACAGCCCCAGCAGAGCTCTGAGGAGGGGAACCGCAGGAGTAGGCTCAGGAAGCAGGCGCTCGGAGCCTACCCACTGCACGCAGGGTCCCTTCTGCAGCCCCAGCTGCATCGCTGCAGATGGGCTCCTGGGAGTCGGTAGCAACACCAGGCCAGGCCGGCCCCTGGGAGCAGAGGCAGCAGGACGCTGAGGAGCATGGCCAGCAGGAAGGTGTCATGGTCTGCGGGGATTGGGGGAAGGGGCGCTGAGTCCTGAGCAGGTGCACCACCCCAGCTCCTGCCCACATGCCCCCCACTGGCATACTTTCAGCCTGCACAGGGCCACTGTCCATGCTGCCACCAAAGCCTGGCTTGTCACAGAAGGGTGGAGCCCAGCCTGGAGCACAGTGGCAGTTATGGTTGCTATTGCAAACCTGCAGAGAAGAGAAGAGGAGGGTCACGTAGGATTAGGAACCCCAAGGTCACCCCCACTCCTCGGGCTCTCACCCCGTGGCTGTGGCAGGCAGTCAGGCAGCGCTGAAGCTCCTGGAAGGCATTCTTCCTGCAGCGCCTGCTCTGGCACACCTACGGGCAGTGCACCAGGCAGTGAGGGGGACACTGGCCTGCGGGATTCAAACGGCAAGGAGGGGTCGGGTGGGCAGAGCTCACCATTCTAGGTCCACACTGGGTGCCTGGCTCTACCAGGCCCAGGCCAAGCAGGTCCAGCTGGGCACTGGGGAGTGCCAAGGCTCCCCGACAAGTCACTTCCTGGCCATCTAGGTGAACGGTAGAGTCCACTGGCACCATGTGCGGTGCGAGCAGGCTGGGCTTTCCACCCTGGCACTGCAGCTTCCCACACAGGGCATCCCTGGGGAGGAAGTAGAGGGGGGTCAACAGCTGCAGTACCCCCCTTCCCCAAACCCACTCCATAGCTTCTGCTCCCTCCACTCAGCTCCACTCCCTACCTCCCTGCACAGGGCAGGAAGTGGCCCTCGCTGTCCTGGCCGCAGTTTCCA
This sequence comes from Homo sapiens, assembly GCF_000001405.40. Lineage (NCBI taxonomy): Eukaryota > Metazoa > Chordata > Mammalia > Primates > Hominidae > Homo > Homo sapiens. The sequence continues at coordinate 3,671,928 of NC_000020.11, forward strand.
TGAGCATCTCCCGCAGAGTTCACCACCTGGAAACAGGCCTCGGGAGCTGGGTGGGAGCCTGAGGAAGCATGGGCCAGGCTGGGGGCAGCTCGGAGAGGGGCTGCGCTCAGCGGGCCTCAGTTTCCCCTGCCCATCTTCCCCACAGTAGAAAACTGGCCCCACCAGAGGATGGGGGGCAGGGTGCAAGGGTGCTCGTGTCCTCTCACCAGGCCCCCAGAGCTGCTGGCACTGCTGCTCCAGCGTGGGACATGCGCCATCCCAGCAGTAGCCACTGCCCCTGGCACAGGGTGAGCCGTCCAGTAGGTAAACGTCTGGGGGACAGTGGGAGGAGGTGCCCGTGCAAAACTCAGGGAGGTCACAGTCACCCATGGCCTGGCGGCACAGCGCTCCAGCCGGCTTCAGCTGCGCAGGTGACGGGTGGTGGGGAAGGCAGAGAGAGGCCACGTGCAGTGAGAGGTCCATGCCGAGAGCGCGGCTCGGAGCTGGGGGAGCCAGGCCTACCCAAGCCCAGCACCCAACGGGGGAACCTGAGGGCACCAATTAACTAAGGCCAACAGGCCGGCTCCCAAGCTCCCCGAAACCCTCACCCTGAACCTTCCATGCCCTCACCAGGCAGCGCACGCAGCAGTCCCCGTGGGCGCACTGGGCCCCCGGGCGCAGCGAGCAGTTGTGAGCAAAGCAGCAGAGGTCGCGGCACTCCTGGGACCAGAAAGGCAAGAAGGGCCCAGGTGAGGGCGCAGCGCCCCAGACCTGAGCGGAGAGGGCAAGTGGGGGCCGGGCGAGCCGACTTAACCTGGCCAGGGCCGCAGTCACACTCCTCGCCCGCTTCCACGAAGCCGTTCCCGCAGAGCGCCGGCGGCACCGGGAGTCCGGGGTCCGGGGCATTGGAGAGGCAAGCGCCGCCCCCCTTGCGGAAGAAGGCGCGCAGCTGGCGGCGGCTGCAGGCGCTGAACACGCGCGGAAACGGGTGCCTACCGGCACGGGGAGGGCATTGGGCATGGAGGGACAGTCCCCCAACCCCCGCGCTTCTCTGATCCCCACCCCTGGGCTTGGCTACAGCCGCCAGACGCGCAGAGCCCAGAGAGGGGAAGTAACCCGCGCAAAGTCACACAACAAGCGGGACAGGGGACGATGCGGCCCCAATAGTGAGCAGCCCGGGACCCAAGGTGGAATCGCGACCCGACGGTGCTCCTCCCGGTGTAGGAGTAACCTCGCCAGGTTACTCGGAAAATAATCTTCATACCGTTGAGAATCCACTTTGCCTGAGCTTCTTCCCTTTAAGCCTCATAAACCACCCTGAAGCGGACACTATGATCATTATCCCCATTTTACAGAAGAGGAAACTGAGGGACGACCAAAGAAACGCAGCGGAGGAAGTCCCCAGGACTAGCCGCCCCGCCGCAGCCCCGACCCCCCACCCGCGTACCCGGTGGCCGCAGCCATGACGCAGCCTCCGGACTCGGCCGCAGCCTCCACGCAGCAGCCGTCGGGGTCGTGGCTGAGGCCGAGGCTGTGGCCGATCTCATGGGCCATGGTGGCTGCGGCGCCGATGGGGAGCTCCGAGTGGTCCTGGGGGGCCGTGGGAGGGCGGTCACTGCGGCCGTAGAGCCTCCTGTCTCTCCCTCGCCCCCGCCCGCGGGGCTCACCGTGCTCACGCCTCCCGAGCTCTCGGCGCGGCACATGCCCTCGACGGGCGCCAGGCCCACTGTGGCGCCCTGGAAGGCGCGGCCCCTGGGGGCGGAGCGCGGCGTGACCAGGCGGGGCCGGGAGGTGAGGCCGCCCCACCCGGGACCCGCGTCCGGGTCAGAGGCACCCACGTGAGCAGCTGCGCGGAGTCGTGGGGCCGCTGCGCCCACAGCCCCCGGCGCCACTGCAGGAAGGCCCAGAGCGTGGCGTTGGCGTCCTGCGTGACGCGGCTGCGGTCCCGCTCGGTCCACACCTCCAGGCCGGTCAGCGCCACCTGAATGTCCAGAGTCCTGAGAAGCTGAGGGCGAGGCGGGGCTGAAGCCGGGACAGGGCGCCCCATCGCGCCGGTGGTCCTTCGTGGGGCGCCCTTCCTCTTCCCCAAACCCCACCAGCACCTGCCTGTCCTGCCGCCGCCACCCCCATCACCGCTCTCTCCCCGCCGCCCCCAACCTGGTCCACGTAGTTGGCGACTTCCAGGAGACGCTGTTTGGTGTGGTTCAAGTTTCGGTGCCGAGTCAAGAACTGGGAAGGCAGAAATCCCGGTGGCTTGAGGGGCTGAGCTGGCCCCATCCCTGACCCCGCCAACCCCTGGGGTCTCTCCTCACCAGGGTGTGGTCTGCCACAATGTACAGTTCCAGGTACTTCCGGGTCCTGCGCGCTTCTCGCCTGCCCTGCGGAGGTGCAAATGGGGACCCTGAGTGGAAGCTGCTGGGCTTGAGCCCTGACCACCAATCCCAGCTCCCAGAAGGAAGTTTAACATGTTTTCTGGAACTTGTTTCTTCAGACTTCAATAAAAATACTGGGACTCGAGGCCTGTGAATTCCCGTCTCTTCTGATTTGGAGGGCTATAGATACAGCATTCCCACTCCCATCCGATCGATGCCCCTGACCCTGCTCTGGGGACCACCAGGAAGGCTGGTCATGCCCGCTTTGTTCCCAGGATCCCTGTGGCCACAGGTTCCTTTCCAGGTGAGCAGCTGCTCCATCCGAAAGATCTCGTGGGTTGAGAAGTCCTTGGAGCCCCGGGGTGGCCAGGGACGCAGATAATAGCTGGCATTCCTGCTGAGGGTGATCAGGCCACTAGGGTGCAGAGGGGTAGGAGCGGGTGTGAGGGAGCTCTTTCCCCATCCCAGGCCCAGCCTCCTCTCCCAGAGCTCACCTCATCCCAGAGCAGGTGCAGAGGACTACCCAGGAGTCGGGGAAGCCCCTTACTCGCCCTTGGTAGTGGCAATGATCCTAGGGAGGAAGGGGCCAGCCCCAAATCTCAGCCAGGGCTGGAGCAAGAGGGGCAAGAGGGAGGGTGTGGTAGGGGCTGGCTCCAACCGCCCCTTAGGAATGCAAGGAGGAGTAGGGGTAGGAATGGTGGGGGGGTACCTCTGGCGGTGCATCCCAGAGCCCATGGAAGCATCTCACCGTGTGGTTGGGGGCCAGCACCACTGGCTGCCCATCTGGGCCGTAGTGGGTTTCTATGTATCCTGGGGCCAGCAGCCTGCTGAGAGGGGGTGTTACAGGGAACACTGAATTCAGCTTCCTCCTGCCTCCTCCAGGATGTCTCCCAGCCTTCCTCCCTAAATGCTAATGGAGCAGCTTTATGAGTGAGACACTCACAGTGTGTCTTAGGGAAGGGACAGGAGCAATGGTGACTTGCTCAGATCAGAAACTCTTGGGGCTAGAGGAAGGAGCCTTGGTGATGGCTTAGTTGTGGGAGGTGTGAATATGGGAAGCACCAGGGAGGACGCCGGGGAGGAGTGGGAATAGGGGAAGAGTTTGTGGTTCCCAGGGGACCTGCAGCAGGCAGCAGGATCCACAGGATCGGGAGGGGAGGAGTCAGGAGACACTGCCGAAGAATGGGACTTGGAGTTGGGGAAATGCGGTGACCTCCCCCAGTTCCCCTGCCTGCTGCCCTCCTTTGTTGGGCATCTGGTCGACCCTCTTGCCCCCACCTGCCCTAGATCCTTGAAATATTTTCCTCAGACTTCTAGACCCCACATACCTCCCACCTGTCCTTCAGTGATTGATGCTCACCCCCTGCCTCCAGAGAAAACAGAATCGCCACCTGCCCACGCTGCTTCCACCCTCCCTGCCTTCTCCACACCCACTCCGGTAATGATTCCATCTTCAGGCTCCATCTCAACAGGATCTTTCCCACACGGATGGATCAATCATAAGTCAATCTGTCTTCTTTAAAGAAAATCCTTAACCCAACCTCACCTTGGCCTCATTACCTCCAGACCACCCGCTAATGATGGCTGCTTCCCCCCTCCCAGGCATTCCACCACCTGCCCCAGCTCTGCCCCCTACCCCTGCCCCACACACACCCGCCACCCTAGGAGGTAGGTGATGTGACCACCCCATTGAAAGGGTAGGGACGTCGGGAAAATATGGTTGGGCACAGTGGAACTAGAGTTTGTTCCCTGTCCATCCGACTCCACGAGGGAGAATAAAATACGTGTCAAGTGCTCAGAACAGCGCCTGCGGTCAAGCACTCAGTAGGTGATATATACTGATAACATAATCTGGGTGGTTTTAAGAGCCTGCGCTCCAGCCCGGACACCCACCCCACCCAGCCCAAGGCACCTTCCTGAGCACAGGTCTGCCTGTCCCTTCCCCAGCTCAAAATCTTTGGCTCTGGATGGTCCAGGACACTGAGCACCAAAATGGCCTTCTGTGATCTGGCCCTCCTGGGACTCTCCAAATTCATTCCCCCCTGCTCCCCTCCCTGTAGATGGAGACCTTCCAGGCAGGTCAGACAAACTGCTGCCCCCAAGTGTAGCCACTGCATCTTTTTCTTTTTTCTTTTCTTTCTTTTTTTTTTTCTTTTTCTTTTTTTTCTCTTTTTTTGAGACGGAGTCTCACTCTTTGCCCAGGCCGGAGTGGTGCAGTGGTGTGATCTTGGCTCACCACAACCTCTACCTCCGGGGTTCAAGCGATTCTCCCGTCTCAGCCCCCTAAGTAGCTGGGATTACAGGCGCCGCCACCACGCCTGGCTAATTTTTTGTATTTTTAGTAGAGACGGGGTTTCACCATGTTGGCAAGGCTGGTCTCAAACTCCTGACCTCAGGTGAGCCGCCCGCCTCGGCCTCCCAAAGCCACCGCATCTTGGTCCCTGCCATTCCCTTAGCCTGGGGTGCCGGCTCATCTTTTCCCTCTAGGATTTCTTTAGACTCAGCATATCTTGCAAATGTCCACTAGGTGGTGCTCACTCATCGCCAGCAGGGAGCTAACAAGCCGCTCCTGGGGTTGGGAGGGCGGAGGTGCCCCACAGCGGGGCTGACAGCCTCAGCGGTCCTCTTCAGCCTCCAGGGAGCCAACCACAGGCCTGCGTGACTCTCCCTGTCATCTGCACCCTCTCTGGGGTCCTCTGCCCATCCAGCCACCCGCACAGATCTGTGTCAGTCCCTGCCCCCCAACACTGATCCCCTCCTCCCAGCCCTACCCCAGCCTGGCACTCACTGGTTCTTCTCCAGCTCAAGCAGGAGCTCCTGGCCTTCAGCCTCCAGGGCCACCAGCCCCATGTCTGGCTTCGAGACCTGGGCAAGAAAATGTGTGGAGCTGAGATGGTGGCCTCCAGGCCTCCTGCCTGCCAGGGAGTAGGTGGCCTGTGGAGCCGGCTGGGGAGGAAGTTCTTGGGGAGAACGTGGGCTGGGGAGTCAGCAGGACCCCCCACATACTATGGAGGGCGTGGAGGAGGTGAGAACATACAAAGATGTTCCCAAACTCAGGATGTTTGCAGTCCTGACAACAGCCACTTGGAAGGGCGTTGGCACAGCCTGCCAGGCACACCAGCATCCTCCCTAGAGACCAGAGGTCCCAGAAAGGTGCCCCTCCCCTGGCCCGCCCTCTTCTTTCATGCCCAGAAGGGGCATCAAAAGCAGGGGAAGACAGAGGGGTGCTGAGGACATTATGGGGGCATCGGGTAGCCATGGTCAGGGCCTCCTCAGAGCCTCTGCTACCTGAGGCTTGTTTCCAAATGAGCTGCTGCTCATTCCCTATAGAATTCAAATTTGACTCCTCCACTTCCAATTTTGGCAAACTGCTCCCTCTTCCAAAGTTTTCCTGGGCCTCCAGCAGCCCCCGTCCCTCCGGCTCCGACACCTGCTTCACTGGACCCACGAAGTAAACATGGACGCCATTCCAGCCAAGAGAGCACACTGGCTCTCAGCTAGGTGTCAGGAGGCTGGCTTGGACGGCCAGCCCTCTCTCCTTCCCCCACCCTCTTGGCGTCTCCCACCCTGTGGGAACACCCCACTTCCCCCTTGTCCACTCAGCCTGGCTGGGGGCCCAGAGTTGGAGCCGGCCCAGGAGCTTCCTGGGAGGCTGCTGCGCCTTCGGAATGTTTAACCCCCGACTCCTTTTCTCCAAAAATGCACTGGCCTGGGGCCCTGTCCAAGGGTCTCAGAGTCTTTGGAGGGAGTTCTTCCTTCGCAAGTGGGGAGCAGATGGTCCTTGCCTCCCTGGCCACAGGCCCCACAAGGCCTCCAGCATGAGCTCATGAGGCTGGAATGCCACTTGCTTTATTGGGGAAAGGTCTGCACCGGGAAAAAGGCCATACTCGAGGTCCCTGTTCCTCTGCAGCCCCTGCTATCTTTACTCTTGCCCTCCTGGTACCCTGCCCCTTGATATATACCCCTCATCTTGAAATGTGAGTGTTTCCTGCCTTTTGGAGGGGACACCTAGCCTCTACTCTTTCTTCTGTACCATCTTGGCAGGCTTCCTGGGGGCAGGGGCCCACCGGTGGGGGAAGCAGAGCCCCTTTGGGGCTCTCCTCTTGGTCACAGCCCAGGCCAGACAGACAGGGAGGCCCAGAGGCAGAGTGACCCCAGTGTGTGTCCAGCCTTCCCCTCCTGGGGATGGGGAGGGCAATCTCAAAGCTCAGGCCAGTGCCGTGCTTGACCAGTGGAATGGGGGCCTTATGGGCCTAGGGGATCCCAGTGAGGGCCCTGGGTTGGGAGCTGCTGGGTCTCTGGGGGCCTCTCAGCCTTCATGGCAATGCTCCCCTGCCTTCCCTCTTGCTGGATTTGGACAGTAGGGCTGAAAATTCCAAACAAAGAGGGCTCTCTAGGAGGGGCAGGGGTGTAGCCAATGGTTTAAAATCGTTCAGACCTTAGTGGGTCTCAGGCTCCCAGCCTAAAGAGCTGTGTGACCATGGACAATTTCCCCAAGCTCTCTGGGCTTCCGTTTGCCCCTCTGTAAAATGAGCATATCAAGGCTACTGCCCTCTTAGTTTGCAGCACAGATATTATGGCACAAACAGATGGGGCATGGTTATTCTGGAAGCGTGTGAAGAGCGGGATTGGGAAGAGGCTGGGGCAGAGCGTCCTGCAGAAGAAGCACATGGGGTGGTCTTACATCTGGGGGACATCAGGAGAGTGACCACTGCCCCCCCGATACCAGAAGTGGATTCCACAGGAGCCAGTGAGGCTGAAGGTTCAGGCCTTCGTGGCAGGGCCCTGAGAGGGACAGCAGTGTGTCCACAGGGTCACATGTTCTGGTCAACTTTGCAAAAGGTTTTCTTTTTGGTGCTTTTTTTTTTTTTTTTTTAGAGGCTCCTGAAAAGCTTCAGGACCCACAAACTCTGGACCCATTTCTGCCTGGTGGGGGTGGGGGTGGCCCAGATCATCCAGGGAGGGAGGGAAAGAGGGAGGTGGGGTGGAGAAAGCTGAAATGACTTCCATGTGTGCGGGCTCACGAGATCCAGATGTCCAAACCCCAGTGCCTTCTTCTGCCCACTTGAGGGGCAGGGGAGGCAGGGGCCTATAGGAGTAGTGACTTGGTGGTTCTGGGGACCCCAGCAAAACTAGAAGCTGTAATGTAGGGAGAGACAAAAGGGCTGGGAGGTTCAGGGCCCCTGTGGAGGGCGGGGAGACATGGCACTGACCGGCTCCTCCAGGCTGACGGTGCGCCAGGGTTGTCCATCCAGGACCCAGTGCGGGGTGACTGGCTGCCCAGGGATATGTCCTGGAGTAAAGACAGAGCACAGGGTGAGGGGGACCTGAGGAACACAGGGGCATGGGACAAAGCAGAGGGAGGGGGGTAGAGGACATCCCCAGGGAGGCACTGGAGGCCTTTTGGGGCAGACTTCACCTTCAACACGCGTGGGCTCAGCCTGGAGAAGGAGGGACGCCCGTGGGCATCCTTGGATCTGAGGAGCTATCAAGGAGGAGGAAAAGAGAAGGCTGGAAAGGGACAGCTCAGCTGGGGACACGGGAGTCCCCTGACCTTTGTCGGGGGGCAGGCTTGGGCTCGGCGATCACAAGGAAGAGGCCAAGGCCGCCAGTGCAGAGGGGAAGGAAAGAGCGCGGCAGCCTTAGGGATTTTTAGATGGGCAGCAGATGCCTTTAGGGTGAGAGATGTACGAAGAGAGGACACTTGTGCCCCCCCCATCATCTGAGAAAAACAACAGCCAGATGTTGCCTTGCGAGGTCCACCTTGCCCAGAGCTCCCTCGGGGACTCTGTCCTGGTGGCAGGGTTTTGGTACCCTGGCCCAGAAGGCCCCTCCTCATCTCTTCAAGGGGAGGGGACGCTTCTGGACGGAGCCTTGGTGCTCCCTGGCCGGGTGTGCCTAAGGGGGCTCTAGGAGGAATCCCAGAGCCAAGCATTACTCAGAGGGCGCCTGGAATGTTCCCCTGGAATGCTCCCAGCCCTCCACTGGCCCCAACCACTCTCACAGGCCCGCCCTGCAGGAGCCAGGCCCCAGGCACCCAGAGCCTGCAGCAGCCCTCCTTCCCCCGGTACCCAGTCCCAGCTCCCAGAACAGACAGCCTCCCCCCTCCACGCAGCCCTGGCCTCAGTCCTGCTGGGCTGATGGCTGCCTGTGGAAGTGACTCAGCTCCTGCTAGGCCACCCCAACTCCTTTTTTCTCCTCCACCTTCTCTCCCAGACTACAAACATCAAAGACCCTTCCTCCAAGAAGCCCTCCTTGATTGGATGAGTGAATTGCCATCAGGCAGATGAGGGCCGAGAGGAGTCTGCCACCTTGGAAAGGAGGCTAGAGGGGCCAGTGCAGGGAGGGCTCTGAGTGGATGTGGGGGAGGGGAAGGAGGGGAGGTCTCTCAGCCCAGAGAGCACTTAACTGAGAGTAGAGAACCAAGCTTTGCTGCTCCTAGGCCTCTAAGGGTTTGGGGAAGAGGTAGGGTGGGCCCGGGCACAGGTGTGGTGTGGGTGCAGTGTGGTGTGTGGGTGCTGTCCACATGGCCTTGCGCGCACGTGCTGGCCACGGGCACCCTGACCCCAATGAGGGAGAGAGGGGCAGAGCTGGAGCTGGAGCTGGAGCTCCGGTGACCGGGTGAATGGGGGTGGAACCCGAGGGAGCCAGGCTGGTATTGGGCACATAGACGCCCCTCTCCCAGGGGTCCCATCACCTCCCCTGACCCCAGGATAGGGCTCAGAGGGGAGGGAGCAGTGGACCGCCTGGGGCCCTCCCCTGGGGCCAGAACAGACCAGGCCCCTGTACCTGTTTGGTCCCCACACAGTGCTGTGGAAGCCACCGCCCAGTCTGCATAGCACAGCCCAGCCCCGCATGCCCCCTCCCTGGTTGCCCTCCCTGTTCCCGGCCAGGCACTTGCTGTGCAGGACTGGCTAATCCTCCCACCCGCTTGCAGAGGTTGTTCCAGCCCCATCTTAACATCTTTGTTTGGAGGGGTTACCCCGAGGAGACAGCTGCAGTCTTCCCAGAGCACTGCTAAACAGACACCTTCTATCTGGAGAGGCCCTTCTCTATCTCACCAAACAAGGCAACAATATAAACAACATACACACTGCCCTGCTGCCCTGGGAGGAGGGACGAGGGGTGAGCAGGGTGGAGGCCACAGCTAGTTCTGCAGCCTGAGAGCAAAGCAGGGACTCTGGGGGACTCTTGGGCATGGGGGCTTCCTAGAGGACGGAGCCCCGCTGAGTCCTAAGGGGTGGAGGAGCAGGAGCGGGTCACACGGTGGCCTGCGGATGGAAGCTGGTTGTGAGAGCGAGAATCCAGGAAGAGGGGGCTACGGCTATGGGCTGGGGGCTGGGCTGCCCCCGAGGGGGAGGGAGCCATGCCCTCTGCTTTGCCAGCGGAGTGGCAGCCGGGCAGTGTGGGCAAGTCCGGGCCCGGGGCCAGCCCAAGCACACTTGAGCGTCCCTGGGCAGGTCCCACGGAGACCCCCCCAAAGAGTCCCCACGCCCTGACCTACTGGCCGTATGGTGCCGGGGCCGTGAGACCCTCCGCGCGCTGACCCGAGCTCTGAGCAGAACCCATCCCCGCCACCACCACCGCGCCTAGCCTGCCCCTCAGGGCGCACCCCGCCCGCGTCCTCACCTTGAAGCACCCCGGCGCCTGGCACTGGCCAGAGCAGCAGCAGTAGTAGCAGCAGCAGCAACGGGGTCCCCCGAGCTCTCCGGGGCCTCCAGCCCATAGCTGTGAGCTCCTCGGCCTCTAGGCAGCGGCTCGCAACTCCGGCTCCGCCCAGGCTGGATTGCGGCCGACCCGTGCCCGGTGCAGCCTCAGGCCGCCGCCTTCGGACCTTCCCGCCCCCACCTCCCACCGCCCGCCCTCGCTCCCGCCTCCCCTCCCCGCCAACCCCGCTCGGAGCCTGGCCAGGGGCCCCGACGGCGCGCGCCATGGGGGAGCCGGGTCGCCACTCCCGGACCGCCGCCCCTCGAGGGGGTGGAGCTGGGCGGAGGAGGGAATCCGTGCGGCCCCTCGGATGACCGGCCCGAGCCGTCCCTCCCCGTCGGTCTCAGAGGGCCTCTACTCCTGAGAGGAGGAGAGAACCGCTGGGAAGGTTCTTGGAGGACCGCGGCGTGGTGGGATGAGGCGGTGGGCAAAGGCCGCCTCTCGCTGCTGAAGTTGGCCCCAGGAGCGCGATCTTCCGTGGTCTCCTGGGGCCGATCTCTGTCCCCTCCTTGCTACCCGTCCTGCCCCGAGGGTGCCCTGGCGGAGGTTGAGTCGGGTCATCCACCTGCACTGGGTGCCCCCAAGGATAGGAAGGTTCAGGCAACCGGCTGCCGCTGTCTTGGGGGCTTCATTGCTGGGCAAAGGCGATGCAGCAGACGGAGACAACCTTTCTTCCCTGGCGGTGGCCAGAGGGCAGAATTGCATAAAAGCTGCAGACTCCCAGGCCTGGGAGACCCTTTCGGCCTCAGTAACATCTGTTTCATGTTTTAAACTTTTGTTTTCCTACTCGGTGCAAATTTGGATGAGATGTTAACTTTTTTTTTTTTTTTTTTTTTGAGATGGAGTCTCCCTCTGTCGCCAGGCTGGAGTGCAGCGGCGCGATCTTGGCTCACTGCAACCTCCGACTCCCTGGTTCAAGCGATTCTCCTGCCTCAGCCTCCCGAGTAGCTGGGACTACAGGCGCGCGCTACCACCCCCAGCTAACTTTTGTATTTTTAGCAGAGACGAGGTTTCACCATTTTGGCCAGGATGGTCTCAATCTCCTGATCTCGTGATCCACCCGCCTCGGCCTCTCAAAGCGCTGGGATTACAGGCATGAGCCACCGCGCCCGGCCGGAGATGTTAACTTTTAAGCAAATCTTTTTTTTTTTTTTTTTTTTTTGAGACAGAGTTTCTCTCTTGTTACCCAGACTGGAGTGCAATGGCATGATCTGGGCTCACTGCAACCTCTGCCTCCCAGATTCAAGTGATTCTTCTGCCTCAGCCTCCCGAGTAGCTGGGATTACAGGCATTCGCCACCACGCCTGGCTAATTTTGTATTTTTAGTAGAGATGGGGTTTCTCCATGTTGGTCAGGCTGGTCTCGAACTCCCGACCTCAGGTGATCTGCCCGCCTCGGCCTCCCAAAGCGCTGGAATTACAGGCGTGAGACACCGCACCCAGCCTACTTTTAAGTAAATCTATTTGTTTTTGAGAATTTGGAATGTAGTAATTTGGTTAGTGAAAGTTCGAGCAGTGAGAGAAACCTACATTCACATATCTCAAAATCAAAAAGTACAGAAAGCATAGGGAAAAGTCTCCGTGCTCTTAGCCCTCCTCACCAACAGGAAACCAATATGATTAGTTTCTTTCATAGGCTTTTAGATTATTTTTTCACACTCAAGACAATACAGACATATTTTTTTCTCTTATTAACGTTTTTCTGCACTTTGATTTTCTTTTTTTTTTTTTTGGTCGCTTAATACACCTTAGATATCAGTGCGTTTAGAGGGTCCTTGTTGTTCTTATGATTATTATTTAGAGACAGGGTCTCACTCTGTCACCCACGCTAGAGGACAGTGGCCTGATCATGCCTCATTGCAGCCTTGAAATCCTGGGCTCAAGGTATCCTCCCACCTCAGCCTCCTGAGTAGCTGGAACTACAGGCACACGGCACCAGGCCCAGCTAAAATTTTTAATTTTTCTGTAGACAGGGGGGTCTCACTTTGTTTCCCAGGCTGGTCTCAAACTCCTGGTCTTGGCCAGGCGCAGTGTCTCATGCCTGTAATCCCAGCACTTTGGGAGGCCGAGGCGGGCAGATCACTGGAGGTCAGGAGTTCAAGACCAGTCTGGCCAACATGGTGAAACCCCATCTCTACTAAAAATACAAAAATTAGCCGGGCATGGTGGTGAGTGCCTGTAGTTCCAGCTACTTGGGAGGCTGAGGCAGGAAAATCGCTTGAACTCAGAAGGTGGAGGTTGCAGCGAGCCGAGATCATGCCATTGCACTCCAGCCTGGGCAACAAGAGCGAAACTCCGTCTCAAAAAATAAAAATAAAAATAAAAAGAACTCCTGATCTTAAGTGATCCTCCTGCCTCAGCTTCTCAAATCGCTGGAATTACAGGAGTGAGTCACCACAGCTGTCCAGCTACGAGATTATTACTTATTATTACTACTTTGGATTTTCAAATCAACTTCATTAAGGTATAATTTACACACAATAAAATGCACTTATTTTAAGTGGCCAGTAAGATGAGTTTCGATAAGTGTATATAACTACATAAGCATCACTATAATGCAGACACATTCCCTCACTCACAGAAAGAGCCCTGTGCCCTTCCAGCCAAACTTGCCCACTCCCAACCCCAGACAGCCACTGATCTGTTGTTCTCTGTCTATAGATAAGTTTTGCCTGTTCTAGAATTTCATATAAATGGAATCATGCGGCATGCACTCTTCTGTGTCTGGCTTCCTTCCCTCTTTCCGATGTTTTTGAGATTCATTTACACTATTTTGCATATCAATAGTTTGTTCCTTCGTATTGCTGAATAGTGTTCGGTGGTTTGAGGGAACCACAGTTTCTCTACTCACCAGTGCACCATAGGGTTATTTTCCAGTTAGGGGCTCTTATAATTGGAACTATATTTGCACAGAGAGAGAGAGAGGAAGAAAGAGGGAGAGAGATATTTATTATAGCAATTGGCTCACGTGATTATGGAGGCCAAAAAGTTCCCGAATCTGCCATCTGCAAGCTGGAGAACGAGGAAAGCCAGTGGTGTGATTCAGTTTGAGTTCAAAGGCCTGAGAACCAGGAGCACCAGTATGGAGGTGGCTCGAGCTCAGAACAAGTTGGGGACAGGAAAGCAGAGCAGCGCCCCAGAGCAGCCCCTCAGCGACACCTCTTCAGTAAAGCAAGGCTGAACACAGAGGGGCTGGCTTCAGTGTGGATGTCAGGTACAGAAGGCAGCTCGAGGAGCTACTCTGGCGTTCTTGCTTACTGGTATTCTTACCTCGAACTGGCCAACTCCTACTTAAACTGCAGGCCATGGCTTTAATGTCCTGTCATTCAGAGGCTGTCCCTTACCCAAAGCCAGGTTAGCATCCCCTGACTGACACTTCTCCCTGCAACACGTTTCAGAAGGCCCTGTAGTCGTCCACTTCCCTGTCTCTCTCCCCAAGCTCCTGAGCTCCATGTGGTCTGGGAATATGTGTGTTGCTCACTTCCTAGCACAGTCAGTGCTAATAACTGACTGTAGAGGGGACACAGTCGAAAAGCCACATGGGGATCAGAGTCATCCTTACACAGTTGACACCTCCCAAACCCAGATGAGCTGTGTCCAAGTGCAGGTCAGAGGAATTTTCTGCCGAAGTCTCTGAGAAAGGGTTTATTTACATTTTGAGGTTGCAGGGGAGGAGATGAGGCCATCAAACCAAAGCTGAGGAAGAGGGATCCTAGGATGCACCGAGCAGCTCCGGGGGCGCCTGACAGCACCTGGGAAAGATGGCTTCTCCACTGGCTTGTTGGCGTCACCCTCCAGAGGGGCATCAGGAAATGTCCTGGGAACCAGGCAAACCAGTGAGCATTAACCCTTAGGAGTGCTTGGCATGGGTGACACCCACCATCTGTAAACACGACTTCTCCCAAGGAGTGACGCAGAACAGGATGTCTGAGGGAGGCACTCCGACTCCAGCCTTCAGAGATCGCCAGGGTGGCACCTGGTGACGACAGGCTGATGCTTGGGTGCCCCGGAAAAAGTCATGTGTGTGAATGGGGGCCCCAAAGCCAACGCTTCATCCCTGACAGCCTGGTGCATTTAGAGGGGAACTTTTTGTCCCTTGGCAAGGTGGGTGGAATTTCAGGTTCATAGGGCAAGGGTATTTTAGCTTTAATAGATATTGTCAAACAGTTTTCCAAAGTCATTGTACACACTCTGTGATTCTACTTAAGTAAAGTTTAAAAACAGGCAAATCAAATCTATGGTGTTCGAAGTCAAGACAGTAGTTACCCTTGTGGGGGCTGCAACTGGTACAGAGTGTAAGGGGGGACTGTAGGATGGTCTATTTCTTGATCTGGGTGTGTTCGCTTTTGGAAAAGTCCTTGAGTTGCATTTATAATGTGTGAACTTTTCTGTATGTTACACTTTAATTGAATGTACAAAAAGTCTCAGGAGGCCTCAGACCACTGGAAGCGGACACAACTAACCCCTCTGAGAGCCTCCAATCCAAGATGGACATATGTCCCCTTGGAAGTATGCAGAAGCAGGTGAAGACTCCTAAGCCGGATATTCCCAAATCCCCCCAGTAGCTGCAGCTTCAGCAGCTGCTTATGGTCCTCCCTACACCCTCTCTTCCCCAGACAGCCCCCAAACATCTGGCTGCATTTGACTTGCTCTCTCCCTGTCCCACCTCTGGATTTAGTCCATGTTCTCCACCCTCCCCACTGTCAGCAATGTAGACAAGACAAACGCTTAGTTCACGTGCCCACCTACTGCGTGCCATGCACGGGGCTGGTCATTGTGGGTGGCAAATGTGAGCAACACACGAAGCCTCAAGGAGCAGAAAGGGACACAAATCACTTCAGCGTAAGGTAATTTGTGATAAATGTCATGTAACTTGCAGCCCCTGGCCCCCTCCTACAGATGGTGTCTAAGAATAAACCCCACTAACATGTGACTCCTCTGTTCTAGCCCAGCTGTTTGGGTTGCAAGAAAGAGACTCACTCCAGTTGCGTCATAGGATGGAGTTTTATTGGGAGGACATTCTGGACGGGCTCCCAGCAAGAGTCTGGCAATGGAGCATGAAAATGAATGAGCCTGGAATGAGGGAGGGTGCGGCCTCGGCTACACAAAGTTCACCCGCCCCCAACTGCCTCCCAGCGTGTTAGCTCCTGTGGCAACTCCCCACTTCTCTCTCTGTTTTTCAACCCAAATCCTAGAGCAGAGGGCTCTTCGCTCCTCACACCATCTCCACCAGGCTGCAGGGGGAGTCACTAGCCCACTCAAGAGCTCTCTCCTGTTGGTCCCTGATTCGCAGGGGCACGTCATTCCTTCTTGGTAACTCATTCTCTTTAACAGCCCGACACAGGGTCTCCAGGAAAAGGACAGGAGCTCACACAGTCATGAACAGAGATGCATCTGGAGCAGGAATAAGGATGCTGACAACATCTGTGTCTGCCCTCCACTCTTGTAAGGGCCAGTAAGGTAGTACCCAGTCCCTGGGGGTAGGGGGGGTGGTGGTGGGAATGAGGGCATCTCTTCTTTCAGGGGCCAAATCTGGCACAAGGATGTCTGCTTAGGCAACTCCACTGCCTGGCATGCTCTCTCCCTAGGAAAACACCAAACCTTTTTTATTTCCTCAGTCTTAGTGTGAGAGTGATCACCTCTTCCAGGAAGCCCACAACCAGAATGGCCAGGGGCACACCCTGGCCCTCAGTAGATGGGCACTGAGACAAAACATGGCCTGCTGGTGGCATTCCCAACAATGTCAAAAGTCTCAGGGATGAGCTCACAGTTGGGAGTCCTTTGGAAGTCCAATTCCAAATGTCCTCTGGACTCAAAATAAAAACTACATTTCCCAGTCTCCCTTGTAGCTTGCAGTAGCCATGTGACAATACTCCAGCCAATGGGAAGTGAGTGGAAAAGTCCTGTGCAGCTTCTGAGTTGCGTCCACCATGGGCATGGGTGTGCTTCTACCTCCACTCTTCCTTCTTCTGGCTGGAGGGCATGTGGACAAAGCGGGGCCATGGTGAGCCTCACAATCAAAGGCATCATTTTAGGGATAGAGAAAAGGAAGATAGAAGGATCCTGAGCCCCAACATCATAAACCATCGTAACAGCCAGACTAGCGTGGGAGAGAAAAATAAAATTCTATCATGTTGAAGTCACTGTATTTGGTCTCTTGTTAGAGCAGGCTGACTGATACTCTGTTGAATACAGAATGCCTTGGTGAGCCTCTGAGGATGCAGGATGCTGCAATCCAACCAAAGTCCAGGGTGACTTTCGAGGAGAAGGATGTGAAAGGGCAGGGCTTCCTTTGAGGGAGAAATGGAGAGAAGGGAGGAGATCCAGAGAAGAGAGAGCGAGATCAGCTCAGTGCTCTTCAGTGTCCTCCAGGGTCAACACCCTCCTGGGCAGACCTCTCACCACCCATTTTTGGGGGGGCAAGAGGCTTGGGGCCAGGTCATAAAAAGTCAGATGTCACAGAGCTGTTTTCGTAGAGGCGGGCAGGACTCAACACTGCCTCATTCACATTCATAGGCTGGAGTCATCACAGATTCTGGCCACTTTCTCCTCCGGAGGGCAGGCAACACCACTGGTCAGCCCAGGGGTGGGGCACAGGTTGAGGTCTCACATGTGGCTGCATCAGGATCAATGAGCTTCCCACAGAGAAAACCCTGGTCACAGGAGGCCTCTGGGAGCCAGGGCAGGCCCCCAGGCCCCCAGCCTCAGGTGGGGTCCCAAGAGGATTGGTGGGAGTGTGCATGGCTGGAAGTGTGACTTGGAGCCCTGGCCTACCAGGTGAATCAGCTGCAGAAGGGACACACCACAGGGGAGGAGAAACTGACTTTCACTTCTGCCCAGGTGACGGGCAGGCTTGGGAGTGGGGAAGAGGCCTCAGAACAAAGGTGGGGGAGTCAGAACATACGTGTCTTGGAAATGGAGGGGATGCTGCCAAGTCCAGAAAGTCTCCCCTAGTCCTCTAAGCCAGCCGCCAGCTGACACAGGGATTCCCTCTGCCCCGAGCAGAACAGGGCTCTCCTATCTCCTGAGGGGCTCCTGGTTCCCTGCACACTCTCCCCAACCTCCCCTTGGTCCCAGGCACCATCCTCTAAATGACAGCAGTCTCCAGATGCCAGTTGGCACTGTGGGTTAGCTGGGTATTATATCTGCCCGTGTGTGTTGAATGGATACCTGCGTGGTCTCTTTCTGAAAAGCCATCTCCACCGAATTCTCGCCCATGCTCTGCTTACAAACACGCCTCCTTCTGCAAGGCCCGGAGTGGACTCAGAGAGCCTCTCCCCTCCCCACCTCCTGCCCCCATTCCTCTCCCGCTCCCCACAGGCTGGCTCCAGACCACAAGAGCGTGGGAACCTCATGGAGAGTGGGTGCTTCCTCTGTCTTCCTCCCTAGCCCTTGCTTTAGCACAGCCAGGGCAGAGAGGAGGAAAGAAGGAAACTACAGCAAGGAGGATTTAGGGACAATTCTAGAAGGGATTTCCAATTTGGAGGGGCAGTCTGGGAAGTAGGCAGCCTGTGAACTTAATAGGAGGTCCTAAAGGACCTGGGGGAATTTGGGGAGAAGACGAGGTGGGCTGCCTTACCCCAATCTTCTGGCCCACTCCCAGCTCCAGACCCACCTCCAGGTGTAGCAGGCCCCCAGGCCCAACAGCAGGAGCAGGAGGCCCACCAGCAGTCCCAGGACCCAGAGCAGCTGCTGGAACTGATGCAGGCGGTGCAGGGCTGGAACACAGAGCGGGACTCAGAGCAGCCACAGCTGCAGGCCCCCAGTGCTTCCTTCCAAGGGGACCCACCCAAGATGACACCTTCTAACTTTTGCTTTATCGCTGAAGCTCTCCACACAAGGGTGCCCCGAGCAATCAGTTTAGAGTCGACAGGCAAATCATGCTGCAGCAGGAGGGATACAGGGAAGGAAGCCTTTGGGCCTAAGAGCTGGGCTTTTGTGCAGAGTGGCCTGGGAGATGGAGCCCCCTCCCCTCACCTCTGACCCCAAAGTAGGTGGAGGTAGAGGCAGAGCCCAGGACATTTGAGGCAGAACAGATGTATTCCCCTTGGTCGCTGGGCCTCAGCGCCTCGATGTCCACCCTCAGGGCATTGGGGGAAGCCAGGACATGGATGTGTGGCTCTGCAGGAGCACCCTGGGGCTGACTGGAGGCCACCAGTCGACTGCCAAGGTGGAGAGTCAGGCTGGCGAGCGGCTCGCTGTCCACTCGGCAATCCAGGATGCCCCGGAGGCCACCCTCAGGCTCCACGAAGACCATCATGGTGGGCGTCTTGGGAGGGTCTGTGGGGAGGAAGGGAGTGTGGTGATTGCAGACAATGACCACAAATTTCTCCCTCCCTGTACCCATGCACAGTGACTTTGCTGCTCCTCCCATTAAGAGGCAGAACCTATTTCCTCACTCCTTGAATCTGTGACTCAGTTTGACCAATTGAAGAAAGAAGTGATGTTGTGCAACTTCAGAGCCAGACCTCAAGAGGCCTTGTAGCTTCTGCTCTACTTGTTGGAACACAACAATGTGGGAAGCCCAGGCCAGCCTGCTGGGCACATGTGGCCCAACTGGCAGCCAGGAGCGTGCAGTCATCTGAGACCACTGGGCAACTGCAGCCACATGAGGTGTGAACAACAGAAGAACTCCCCAGCTGAGCCCAGCCCACAGAATTGAGCAGATAACATGACTTTTGTTTGAAGCAGTAAGTTTTGTTGTGGTCAATAGCAATAGCTGACTGATACAGTGTAGGCCTTGGTGAAGGCTGGAGTGGGAGACCAAGACTGATGAGGGCTTATCGTGTGCCAGACACACTCAGCACGCTTTATTTCTTTTGGTTTTTTCTCTTCTTTTCTTTTCTTTTTTTTTTTTTTTTCTTGAGACAGAGTCTCAGTCTGTCACCCAGGCTGGAGTGCGTTGTGGTGATCTTGGCTCACTGCAACCTCCACCTCCCAGGCTCAAGTGAGTCTCCTGCCTCAGCCTCCTGAATAGCTGGGATTACAGGTGTGTGCCTTCATGCCGTGCTAATTCTTGTATTTTTAGTAGAGACGGAGTTTCGCCATATTGACCAGGCTAGTCTTGAACTCCTGACCTCAAGTGATCCGCCCACCTCAGCCTCTCAAAGTGCTGGGATTACAGGCATAAGCCCCTGCACCAGCCATTTATTTCTTATACAACTTGCAGGATGAGGCGAATGATGTATTCCCCATTTTACAAGGTCACCCAACCAGACAGCGGGAGAGCCAGGATTCCAACCCAGGACTCAATATCCGTGAAGCCTTCACTCTTGGCAGACAGAAGAGGAGGAAGAACTGAGGTGGGCGTGTGAGATGTGGGGAGACTAAGGCGGAGGAGGGGGTTCACACTCACAGAGCACACGGAGCATGACTGGAGCAGAGGCAGCAGCCCCAGTGGGGAGCTCAGCCAGGCAGTGGTACATCCCAGCTTGAGCACGAGCCACGTGGGTGAAGGCGAGAGTGGGCACAGGCTCCGCGTGCAGCCGCCGGTCATTCCAGAACCATGCAAAGGTGGAGTTGCCCACAGGCCCAGGGCCACCCAGGAGGCGGCAGCTGAGGTTCAGGGCAGCGCCCTCAGGCACGTCCAGGCCAGGCTCTGCCACCACGCGTGCACCTGCGGGCGGAGGATAGAGAGATGATTGGGGATCTGTAGGCCTTGGGGGCTGGAGCCTCTGGGTGGGACCTCTGAGGGGCCTCTGCACATTGTGGGAAGGTCTCAGTCTGACTTGGTATAGGGCTTTCCAAGGTGGAACCATGCCCCCTCCAGTGGGAGCTGTGCCCCCTCCACCAGATTAGGCTTCTCAAGGCAGAGCTTTCTCAGACCAGACAGCCCGCTCTAGTGGGAGCTCCAGCCCCTCTCGTGGACTTGGACCTGAGAGCATCAGAGCCCCTCCTCCTCCCCTCTCTTCCACTCACCTTCTACCTGCAACCGCCCGATGGTGCTGATTGAGCCCAGCAAGTTTTGGGCTGTGCAAACATAGGTGTCATCACCTGCAGGCACATCTTGCACCTGCAGCCGTAGGGCGTTTCGGGCCACCTGGACATGGCCTGTCCCTGATGCCAAGCTGTGGACCCCGCTGCTCGTGGCCAGCACCTTGCCATCATGAGATAGGGCCAGCTCAGCAGGTGGCTCACTGTCCACAGTGCACTGTATCACAGCCATGGATCTGGCCCTGGAGTCCCGGAAGGAGGACAGGACAGCGTCCTGAGGGGCATCTGTGGGCAGGCAGGGCACAGATGGGGACCTTGCTTAGGCACCCTGTACTGCTCATTGCCTAGCTGCCTGGGGTTGGTCAGGCTGAGGCCTCTGGACCAATGGCCACTTCCTAGAAGTGACACCTTCCCAGGAGTCCTGTGGGCAGAGTGCTCCAGGCAGGGCTTATAGGACTGTCTCTTTCTCTAGCACCTATGTCCTCTTTCCCCAACTGCCCATTCCTGGGCCCACTGCAGTCCTTTGCCCACTCCCACCAGAGCCCAGAAGCACCCTCCACCACCCTCCTCCTGGGCAGCCCTGGCCAAGGACCCTCTGCTCACAGAGGACTTGCAGGGCAGCAGGACGGGAGCTGCGGGTGCCCTGGGCATCCTGGGCCTGGCAAGAGTAGGCGCCTGCATGAGCCCGCGTGGCCACCAGGAATGAGAGTGAGGCAGCTGGACCCTCCTGCAGCCAACGACCGTTGTGGTACCAAGTATAGAGTGTGGGTGCGTGGGCAGCAGGGTCCGCACAGGTCACTGTGATGGGGGCACCTTCAGGCACGGCAGCCTCCGGAGCCAGGATCACCCGCACACCTGTGCCAAGGAGGCCAGGATCAGCCGGGCCCAGCCGGACACCACAGTGGGCTTCCATCCCAGTGGGCTTGGCCTAGGCCCTGCCTTACCCTCCAGCCGCAGCTCCAGGGACGTGTTGGCCTGGCCCAGAGGGCTGCGGGCAGAGCAGCTGTAGAAACCCTCATCCCTGGGCTGTGGCCCTCGCAGCTCCAGGCGCAGGGTGTTGGGGACAGAGGCTGCTGTCGAGGAGGCCAAGAGGCGACCGGCGTGGCTGAGGGCCAGCTGGGCGGGCGGGCGGCTGTCCACAGTGCACAGTACCAGGGCCAGCTGCCCGCCATGGCTCTCCAGGAGGTAGGTCAGGCGCAGGTTGCGGGGCGCGTCTGCAGGGCATGAGAGGCTTACACGGAGTCACAGGCAGCAGCCTGCAGGAGGCCAGTTTGCAGGTGGCATTCAAACTCAGGAGGGCCCTGGCTCCCCACCCCTATGGCTCCCAACCACCCAGTCTGAGGCACTGCTCCTCTGCCCAGACAGGACTCACCCCAGCGCCCCCTACTCTTAATGCTCCTTGCCCAGTGCTCCACTAGCTACTGGGTACCGAGTTCCCCACTGGACACCTGTCGGGTTCCGGCCATGCCGTGATCCCTGTGGGCTTCTGTCATTCCTGTGAGTCCCACCCTGCATCCAGCCAGACTCACAGAGGACGTCCAAGGTGATAGGTCTGGAGAGGCGGGGTGCCCGACCAGGGGGGCCCACACCGCAGCGGTAGGAGGTGGCATCCCTGACTGTGACGTTGGGCAGGGGGATGGAGTGGGCATCCAGGCGCTGCTGCCCATCCTGGTACCATGTGTAGGTGAGCTGGGCCGGGTGAGTGGTCCACACAAGGCAGGTCAGGTTCACCAGCTGCCCCTCCCGCACGGTAGCCCCGGGCCACACCTGCACATTCACAGCTGGGGAGAGGGAGGGCACAGGACACCAGTGAGGGTCTTGAGGCTGTGTACAGCAGGCCACCTGTCTCCATGTGGGTGAGCTACTCCTACTGCTGGGGAGCCCCTTGGCCTTTGGGAGCCTTGGGTGGCCCACCTATAAATGTGGCTTAGAAGTCAAGCTTGGGAATAGCCCACTGGCTCCTGAGTGGTCCCAAGTAGAGTTCCACAGAGTCCTGGAAAGCCCTGAGCCCCTCCCTGACCCTGGCTGGGGGCAAATGGGGAGACCACAGACCTCCCCTCCCCTGCTGCACTTTCTCCTGAAATTCCCTGTTTAGTTTTATCCACTGGGCATACTTGTAAAATTTGGTGTTTATAAAAGGTTCTCCTAAGAAACTCAAGTCTGGAGTCCACCATCGTTAGGAAGGGTGGGAATGGGGACTATTCCCGTGCCCCCAGGCTTCTAGAACCCTGTCCCACCTCCTCTCCTCTTTTAAAGGACACACACACACACACACACACACACACACACACACACACACTGACCTTGAGCGTCGAAGTCAGCTGAGGCCGAGGCCTGGCCCAGGGTGTTGGAGGCCTCACAGATATAGACACCCTCATCCTCCAGCATAGCCCCGTGGATCTCCAGACGCAGTGTGTTGGGGGCCACAGCCACATGCAGCCTGGGAGAGCTGCCTTCGGGTCCCCCCACACCTTGTAGGGTGGAGGCCACAAGGCGATCCCCGTGGAGCAGCCGCAGCTGGGCCGGAGGGTCACTGTCCACACGGCACAGGAGGAGGCCCAGTCGTCCAGGGCCTGTGTCCATCAGGGTAGTGAGTGTGACGTGGCGTGGGGCATCTACACAGGGTGGGGAGTGGTCAGGACCCAGCCAGGGGGGTCCCTCATCCAGGGCTCTGTCATGTGACACAGCCCAGGACTGGGGGACTGCATTCCTTCCCCCACACCTGGATGGGACAAAAGTCCTTACAGGACACGTGGAGGCTGATGGGTGCAGCTAGGCTCGTGGTGGCTGAGCCTGGGGCCTGGGCTTGGCAATGATAGGCCCCAGCTTGTGTCAAAGTTATGGCTGCAAAGCGGAGCGTGGCCGAGGTCGACTCCTGGAGGGGCTGGCCATCCCGATACCAACGATATGAGGTCCCCTCTGGGACTCCTGTGTGTACCTGGCAGCTCAGGACCACAGCCTGGCCCTCTTGGAGCTCAGGTGATGGTGACACCTGGACCCAGGCTCCTGCAGGGGAAAACCAAGAGCAGGTGAGGGCTCTCCACCACACCTCTCACAGTCTGGGACCATGTGCGTGTCCACCTAGGACTACACAACCCAACCCCATGTGCTGGAGCCGCAGCCCCTTCCAGACCACCGCCAGGGCCCACTCAGCCCTATGCCTTGGCCCCTCCTGCTCCCCACTCTCCTGCACAGGCTCCATCCTGGCATTTACCTCCCACCACCTGGTGGGATGGTTTTACTGTGTCAGTCATATCTCGCCTACCAAAGCGTAAGCCTTATGGGCACTGGACTTGTGTGACCTGTAACCCCAGTTCCAGGCACTGTGCCTGCATGTGTTAGCTCCTGACAAATGTTGGTTCAACCCATAAAGTACTGAAAAGGGAGGGATTTAGATCATCCCGGGGCCATTGTCCTAACTAGGATCTGGACTCAGCATGGGTGACCGAGGGCTTGGAAGGGAATGTTAGCAGCTATGTTATCTTGAGCGCTCTCGCCAGGCCAGCCCTGCATCCAGACTCCAGGCCACAAGAGCACAGGACCTGGGGACCAGGCAAAGGGCAGCTCCTCAGTGGCCCCTGGGTGTGAAGCAGGAGAACCCCAGGTTGCAGGGAGTGAGATGGAGGGACAGCTGGAATGCTAAGCAAGAACACAGACCATGCCTGAGACCACAGCTAGCAGGGTCATGCAACTGGGGAAAAGCTCCTAAAACTCAAACCTTCAATTTCTTCCTGCGAAATAGGTATGCTAAGTAAGAAAAGATACACAGAACCAAGGCTCAAAGTAAATGTCCCAAAATTGGTGCTGTCGGTCACCGTGGTGGAAGAAACACTCATGTTCCTTTGACCTTCGCATTATGGGCATTATCTTTCCTTTTTCCTGGTTTATTTGTTTAGGGAGAATTTTTTTTTTTTTAAGACAGAGTCTCACTCTGTCATCCAGGCTAGAGTGAAGTACAATTTTGGCTCACTGCAACCTCCATCTCCCAGGTTCAAACGATTCGCCTGCCTTAGCCTCCCGAGTAACTGGGATTACAAATGCCCACCACCACACCTAGCTAATTTTTGTATTTTTAGTAGAGTGTTGGCCAGGCTGGTCTTGAACTCCTGACCTCAAGTGATCCGCCCGCCTCAGCCTCCCAAAGTGCTGGGATTACAGGCATGAGCCATGGTGCCCGGCCTGAGGGAGGATTTTTATAGAGACTATATATATACACACACACAAACACACACACACACACACACACACACGTATGTGTATATAAATAAAGAATATGAATATATTATGCATAAGAATACACATAATGTATATTTGTATGTGTATATACTCATACATAAACATATATGCATAATATAAATATACATATGTATGAGAATGTTTACTATGTAACAAAATTATATGATCACAAAACAAGTTATTTCAGAAAGTGCTCCCACCAAGCAAGCCACTCTGTGAATTGCCATTGCCTCCTAGTGGCTGCTGCAGTTATTACAGGTGAAAATATCTAGCTGGAGGCAAAGGGAGGCCTTCTGCTGGCTGGAAACTGCCCTTACCAGGACTGAAAAAGACATATTTCTGCACAAAATTCACAGCACCCAGCCCAAAGTCTGACCAGAGTAGTCCCCAGGGCATCAGAGTCTACCATATCTTCAGAAGACTGACACTCACCTCGGACCTGGAAGAAGAGTGAGGTGTTGGATGATCCAAGAACATTTGTGGCCTCACAGCGGTAGCTGCCAGAGTCCCCAAGGCCCAGTTCTCGGACCTCTAACTTCAGGGAGTTGGCCTCAGCTTTAGCCTGGAACCGACCATGGGATGGGACCTGGGGACCCAGGCTGGTGGCCAGGAGGTGCTCCCCATGGAACAAGGCCAGCAAGGCCAGGGGGCGGCTGTCCACAGTGCAGATGAACAGAGCCATGTGGCCCTGGCCCATGTCTAGGAGGGCTGACAGCTTTGGACGGTCCGGGGGATCTGCAGGAACAGAGGGAGCTGAGGCCACCCAGCCTAGCTCACCACATTACAACTGCCACACTATGTCCCCCACCTCCTGCCACACACACAGCCTAAGCCATGCTCTTTCCTCCCCAAACCCCAGCCCGGCCCCTGCTTCTCCCCAGACCACCCCTCCACCCTCCAAGTCCCCAGGCTGCCCATGCCAGTCACCCACAGAGTACACTCAGGAGCACGGGAGTGGAGAGCTGGGCACCAGCCTCAGTCAGGATGCGGCAGGCGTAAAGGGCAGCATCAGTTCTGGCCACGGGCAGCAGTGTCACGGTCTCCAGGGGACCCTGGGCCCACAGCACCCCATTTCGGAACCAGGAGAAGTTAGCAGGGCTGCCAGCAGCTTCCCGGCTCACGTTGCAAGTCAAGTTGGCTTCTGTGCCCTCCTGAAGTGTGTGTGATGGTGCAATGGCCAGGACAGTGGCTGGAGAGCAGGCGGCACAGCTTACTGACCACCCCCGGCCCCCAGGAGCCAGGGGTCCAGCCGCCCAGCCTGGAAGGAGCAGGAAGGAGGCCCCCTGGGGTGCCCACAGGGTTGGGGAGAAAAGCAAGCTAGCTCACAGGGCAGCCTAGGAGAAGTGGGCCCTGGGGACTGTGGGGGCCCTGGGCAGAGAGGGTTGCAGTACAGGGAAGGAGGACAAGGCAGCCCAACTGTCCCAGCTGGGGAGTCCTTCCTCAGAGACCAGCTGTGTTGCCTATCCCCGGCCTGAACAGAGATCATGGGAAGGAGCAGCTCCGCTCTTCCTGAATGTGGAGGAGGGCAGCGAAGGGCCCCCACTGCTGCACAGAGTGGTTTTGCCTGATTAGATCCTCCTCGGAGCAGAACAGTCCAGAGCTCCAGCCCCTGCCCCCAGGCCACCCATTCCCTGCCTGACTCACCCTGGCCATTGAAGGTGGCTGAGGTGGAGGCGTTGCCCAGGGCATTGCTGGCCTCACAGAGGTACAAGCCCTCCTCTTCCAGCAAAGGGTTGTGAATCTCCACACGCAGCAAGTTGGGGGCTTTGGTGACCTTCATGCGTGGGGAACAGCCCCCACAGGTGCTGCAGCCACCCCCTGATGGCAGGGAAGTGGCCACAACACGGTCCTTGTGGAGCAGCTGCAGCCTGGCGGGGGGGTCGCTGTCCACACGGCACAAAAGGAGGCCTCGCCGTCCAGCCCCGGCCCCAGCGGCATCAAGGTCCAGCCTGGTGGTGAATGTTGGTTGTCGAGGGGGGTCTGCAGGGAGGAAGAACATGGGCACTCATCCCACGGATGCTCCAGGGCCCCACAAGCCTGGCTAGGCTCCCAGAATACACTGGACAAAGGCAGATCCCGAAGGCTGCCCCAAGCAGCTGTGCAGACTGTGCACTGCACAAGGGCAGCCAGACCAGGGTGGGTGGAACTCAAGCTAGGCTCATGCTCCTCAAGCTAAGCTGTGCCCTGATGCCTACTGAGTCTTCCCAGAAGAAGGAGCACCATTTTCTAGCTCAGACAAAGGTGCTGTATGGGCTGGCTGCCACCTTGCATAAGTCCCATCTGCTGCTGAGCAGGGTGCCCACCTAGCAATCCCTGGGGGTCATGCTGTCTGCTCCCACCCTGCACCCAATGCCTTACCACGGAGCCTCCCCTCAAGATCTGCCCTGCAGCTTATCTGTGATCTCCAAGCCAGCTCCTGTGATACTAGCGAATGCATAGAATGGCCTCTTCCTGAAGGCTTCTGGAGACAGTTGGCCAAAAGAGAGCAATCAGCCAAGGCCCCCATGTGATCTCACTCAGACACCAGAAAACTTTGCAGAGGCAGCTGCCCTCTGACAGTTCCGGGACGTGGCTCCGGCACACATGTGTCAGGGGAAGCCTCTGGAATCAGGCCCTTGGTCTTACACGGAGCCTCCCCGCTTGGCGGATGCAGAGGGGCTGTCTGTCCCTGTGCTGAGGGGCTTTGCCTTGGTGTCTATGGGAGCCCAGCACAGCCTGTGGGGCATGTGCACAAATAGAGGAGTGTGGTGTCCCAGGGCTCACCCATGAGGACAAAGCATGGATGTGGTGCCCATGCTGAGCTTGAGGCTGGGACAGAGGAGCCCACAGG
Organism: Homo sapiens; assembly: GCF_000001405.40. Taxonomy (NCBI): domain Eukaryota; kingdom Metazoa; phylum Chordata; class Mammalia; order Primates; family Hominidae; genus Homo; species Homo sapiens. The sequence goes on from NC_000020.11 coordinate 3,698,984, forward strand.
GCTGGCATTGGAGGGTAAAGACATGGGGAGGTAGAGAAGGCCCCAGCCTCATTTCCTAAACTTCAGCCCCACATGGAAAGACCCACTGTGGCCAGGTCTGTGACCCAGCCCTCCCGATATAGACCGTGGGGCAGGGCAGGACAGGGCTGGGGGGCCTAGAGGAGGTGGGGTGGCTGGTGGGTCCCGGCAGGAGGCTGCAACAGGTGGTGGCTGCTCACAGAGCACAGTGAGAACAGCTGGCGAAGAGGGGCCACTGGCACTGTGGCCGTCCCGGGCCCGGCAGTGGTATGAGCCGGCGTCAGTGCTGGAGGCCGCGGGGAGCAGGAGGCTGCTGCCGGGACCCTCGTGAAGCAGGGCTCCATTCAGGTACCAGGAGAAGCGGGCATCAGGTGTGGGGCTTAGGCCGCTTCTGCAGCTCAGTGTCACTGCCTGTCCTTCCACCACCTCGGCTGCCGGGCTGATGAGGAGACGGGCGGCTGCGGGGAGAGGAAGAGGCTGGGAAGGGTCCCTCCTCTCAACCCCACATGCTGCCCTATATAGAAAGCCTTCCAGGGTTCTCCTTTCCCCACACTACTGTAGGTAGCTCTGGGCTTTGTGGTGCATCAGGAGGGTTTGCCCTTTAATGCCAAATCAGATCTATTGGTAGTAGATGGCTGCAGCATGGTTGAAGATTCAGAGCCAGAGCCCAGGCTTATGTCCAACACCTGGCTTGGCTGGGCATGGTAGCTCATGCCTGTAATCTTAGCACTTTGGGAGACTGAGGCAGAAGGATCGTTTGAGGCCAGGAGTTCCAGACCAGCCTAGGCAACATAGTGAGACTCCATCTCAAACAATTTTTTTTTTTTGAGACTGAGTCTCACTCTGTCTCCCAGGCTGGAGTGCAGTGGTGTGATCCTGGCTCACTGCAACCTCTGCCTCCCAGGTTCAAGCGATTCTCCTGCCTCAGCCTCCCAAGTAGCTGGGATTACAGGTGTGCCACCACACCCAGCTAATGTTATACATGTAGTAGAGATAGGGTTTCACCATGTTAGCCAGGCAGATCTCGAACTCCCGACCTCTGGTGATCCACCCGCCTCAGCCTCCCAAAGTGCTGGGATTACAGGTGTGAGCCACTGTGGCCAGCTTTTTTTTTTTTTTTTTTTTTTTTTTTTTGAGACGGAGTCTTGCTCCGTCAGCCAGGCTGGAGTGCAGTGGCGCAATCTCAGCTCGCTACAACCTCTGCCTCCCAGGTTCAAGCAATTATCCTGCCTCAGCCTCCCTAGTAGCTGGGACCACAGGTGTGCGCCACCACACCCGGCTAATTTTTGTATTTTTAGTGGAGACGGGGTTTCACCACGTTGGCCAGGCTGATCTCAAGCTCCTGACCTCAGGTGATCTGCCTGCCTCGGCCTCCCAAAGTGCTGGAATTACAGGCATGAGCCACCATGCCTGGCCACAATTTTTTTTTTTTAATTAGCTGGGTGTGGTGACATGGGCCGTAGTCTCAGCTATTTGGGAGGCTGAGATGGGAGGATGGCTTGAGCCCAGGAGTTTGAGGCTGCAGTGAGCCATGAACATACCATTGCACTCCGGCCTGGGCAACAGAGCAACACCCTATCTCAAAAAACAAAAAGAAAAACCTGGCTTGATCAATTAGCTACCATGCCCTCAGGAGGAGGGAAGGACAGTGCACATACCGAAAGTTGGAAGACCGTACTTTTCTTTTTTCTTTTTCTTTTTTTTTTTTTTTTTTTTGAGACAGAGTCTCACTCTTGTCACCCAGGCTGGAGTGCAGTGGCGCTATCTTGGCCCACTACAACTTCCACCTCCTGGGTTCAAGCGATTCTCCTGCCTTAGCCTCCCAGGTAGCTGGGACTACAGGAACTCACCACCATGCCCAGCTAATTTTTGTATTTTTAGTAGAGATGGGATTTCACCATGTTGGCCAGGATGGTCTCGATCTCTTGACCTCGTGATCCACCCACCTCGGCCTCCCAAAGTGCTGGGATTACAGGAGTGAGCCACCACGCCCAGCCAGAAGACCCTACTTTTCTATTTGGCTTCCCACATCTGACTGCTAGCATAGAGCCTGCTCCCAGAGTTTCATAATTAAAAAACAATGAATGCTTCTGAGGGACTCTCCAAGTTTAGGGTCAGGGTAGGTGCAAAAGGAATGATGTGACCTGTTGTGTTTCCCTTTTTCCCTTGACTTCCAGGAAGCTCTGCCGTTGGGTCACTGCACAGCCCCTGTCTTTTATGTGGCGTAGCCAGTTAGCTCAGTCCTGCGGTTGAGTCCACTAGACTTCTAGAAGGAACAGACTGGAGCAGGCTCCTCCTCAGGCTCCCTCCACTCTCCCTGGCTGCCAGTGCCCATCTTACCATTGGCATGGAAGTCCAGGGTGGAGGTTGCATTTCCAAGGGAGTTGGTGGCTGAGCACTTGTACTCCCCACTGTCAGTTTCCTCCAGGTCTCGGATCTCCAGGCGCAGGGAGTTGGGACCAGAGGTACCACTGAAGCGTGGGCTGTGATCACTGTCCCCGGAGGTGGAGGCCAGGATATGACCCCCATGTGACAGCACCAGTGTGGCCAGGGGCTCACTGACCACAGAGCAGTGAAGGATGCCCACAAGTCCCGCCTGGGTCTCCAGGAAGGCTGTCAGGACTGGAGTGAGAGGCGGGTCTGTGTGGAGACGAGAGGTGGGCCTGTCACCCTCAGACAAGGGCATTCCCTGGATACCCTGATACAACCCGTGACCTCTGCACCGCTTTGTCCCACACTGCCCTGTGAGAAGGGGGTGATCCCAAAGTGCCTGAGTGCCTGCTGAATACACTTTTGTCCTTGGCTGGGCTGGGTACGTCACTCTGTTGTCCCAGTCAGTGTTCAAGGCCACCCTGCAAGTGGGGATAAAAGCCCCACTTCAAAGATGAGAAAACTAATAGAGAGACCTGGTGAGGGACAGCACCTCAGCCAGGTGACCAAAGTGAGCATCATCAGCAATGGGACAAGCTGACACAGAGTGCCTCCTGACAGGGCAGAGCAGCATGTCCGCGGCCTTCCCACCCAGAGGGCATGGTCTCAGGCCATTCAAGTCAGGCAAATGTGGAGTGAGGGACCTCCTCAGAACAGCAGGCCTGCACTCTGCAAGTTTCAATGTCAAGAATGACAAGGAAAGACTGAGGAACAGTCTCAGACTAACGGAGAATGAAGAGACGCAACGACCCAATGCAATATGTGAACTGTGATTGTATTCTGGACCAGAAAAAAAATGGCTACAAAAGACAGTATTAGGTCCACTGGTAAAATGTGAATATAGATTATAGCTTAGATAACAGTCTTCTATCAGCCAGGTGTAGTGGCTCATACCTGTAATCCCAGTACTTTGGGAGGCCGAGGTAGGTGGATCACGTGAGGTCAGGAGTTCAAGACCATCCTGGCCAACATGGTGAAACCCTGTCTCTACAAAAACACAAAAATTAGCCAGGCAGGATGGTGGGTGCCTGTAATCCCAGCTACTCAGGAGGCTGAGGCAGGAGGAGAATCGCTTGAGCCCCAGAGGCGGACATTGCAGTGAGCCAAGATAGCACCATTGCACTCCAGCCTGGGCAACACAGTGAGACTCCATCTCAAAAAAAAAAAAAAGTCTTCTATCAATGCTAATTTTCCTGATCATGATCATTGCATTGTGGATATGTAAGAGAATGATCTTAGGAATTTAGCGGTAAAGAAGCCTCATGTC